>NW_003315945.1:0-192462 GCF_000001405.40 Homo sapiens
GAATTCCTCTGGGGTGGTCTGATGGCTTGTCCATGCCCAAGAAGGAGGCGACAGTCTTTGTGACTGTGGGGTCCAGTGGGCTAGGGGAGGCAGGCAGAGGAAGGAGGGATGGAGCCGCGGATAGGGAGGGATGGGGCAGGGGTTGTGGGTCATAGACACAACCTTGGGTGTGAGGGGTCCTGCTGGGATTGGGGATTGGGTTCAGGAGACACTGGGGGATCTGGGATGAAAACCCAGATGAGAGGTGCTGGGAGCTGTAGGAAGACTTCCACCTCCTTGAGGTGGGCAGAGGGTCAGCCCACTACTGGATTCCTCAGTCCCGTGTTGGTTTTATAGTGGAGTAGATCTAGCCTGGAATAGCGAGTGAGTCACTGACCCCACTCCTGAGCATGAACTCTCCTCCCCTCCACTCTGCTGTCAGGTTTTGTCTCCATTGGCCAAGAACCTCTTCCACCGGGCCATTTCTGAGAGTGGCGTGGCCCTCACTTCTGTTCTGGTGAAGAAAGGTGATGTCAAGCCCTTGGCTGAGGTAGGTCTCCGGCTGGTACGTCTCCGGCTGGACACCCCCACCTCCTTGGCTCTATGCTCCTGAATCCTCAGGGATCTCTCTTGTGGTCGGTTGTAGCTAATGTTCTCCTAGAATCACTGAGGCACCAATGGCTGAGCAGGAAGGGCGAGGAGACACCTTGATCAGCGTCCCAGTTTCACAGCCAGGCAAACCGACACAGGGCTTGGAAGGGATTTGCCAAGGGCAGCAGGTGATCAGGGCAGAGCTGGGACTCCAGCTCATGGCCCTAGCAGCCAGTACAGTGCCCTATCTGTGACCACACTCCTCCTATGTGCCAGGGCCTGGTGCCATGTTGGGCAGTGATGGTGTCTTGTGTCTCTCTGGGTCTGCCTAATGGCTGGTAAGTGGAACAACCAGGATTTGAAAGCAGACAAGGAAATTCAGGATTCCATGCTCTCTATCCCAGCTCCACCTCACATTTCTTGACACATTCACCTTGAGATGATTATGTCCATTTCAATGGAGATAAGGTAGCAGAGATGAGAGATTACATAATTGACCCATGTTACAATTGAGATTAGTAACAGAGGCAACGCTCCGTGGGACCTGGAACCCACACCCACGGGTCTACAGTATCTTCTGCTGCTCCCTGCCACTAGTACAAGTTGGGCTTGGGATAGAATGCCACTTTCCTCTTTGATGGAGGGAAGGGATGTCGCTCTTGAACTCTGTTGTTGCCTGTGATCTTTGCAGCAAATTGCTATCACTGCTGGGTGCAAAACCACCACCTCTGCTGTCATGGTTCACTGCCTGCGACAGAAGACGGAAGAGGAGCTCTTGGAGACGACATTGAAAATGTTAGGTTGCCTGTTCCCGTAGCCCAAACCCTGTAAACTTGGTCCCAGACTTCTTCATTTCAGCTGTCCTCTTGCCCAGGGACAGTTTCCTGGGACAATTTCTCAACTCTCAGTATCTGAATGGGGAATCTGATTTGTCCTTTTTTATTGTAAAATGCCACAAATGTAAAAAAAGAAAGTCAAAAAATAACATGATAAAAAATTGTGTAACAATCCCCAGTCCTGACCAAAATTTAATATTTTGCCATTCTTGTTTTCAGATGTATTTTTAAGAAATTAAATGTTACATATTCCCAGGGGACACCATCATCCTGAATTTGGGGGATGGAGATATTAAGCTCAAAGATTTTCAGAAAGATGTCACAATTTATCTTGGTTGACTTAGAAACTGTCTGTATTAGACCTAGTGGTGGTCCAGTTTTCTAGATTTTCTGAGACTGACTCAGTTGTCATCCTAGGATAGTCATCCATCCACCCATTCGTTAATCCGTCTATCTATGATTGTCTTATCCATCTATCTGTTCACTAATTCATCCAATTCACTCATATCTTTTTATCAATCTAATGTCAACCTATTCATAACTTTGTATTTATCTATTTTCAATCCATTCACCATTCATGGATCATCCAGCCACCTTATATCTCAACTCCATCACCCATTCCTCCAAAATCAACAATCCAATTATCGCCTGTCTGCTAGTTTTCACCCATCTATTCATGTATCCATTCAATTCAACTGTACTCCATGTATTGACCAACTCCATCCATCCCTCCATTGATCCATCCATCCATCCATGCTAAATATGTAGGGGTGGGTGTTAGAGGTAGCAAAACAGACATGAAGTGGACATAGTCCCTGCTCTCAAGGAACTATCCAAAGAGAAATACATTCATATACTTCGCAGGTTGAGTATGGTGGCAGCACAGAGGGGAAGCATTCATTGTAGTAATCAGGGATGCTTCACAGAGAAGGCGGAGGAGCCAGATTTGAGACCAGACAGTGGAATTCAGGAGTTCATGCCCTTAATCCTGACTCCACCTTATCTTTCCTGAGAAATTCAGCTTTCAGATCATTGTGCCCATTTTAACAGAGGTAACAAAGACAGATAAATTTTGTAATTGCCCCATGTCACAGTTCAAATTAGTCACAGAGGCAACACTGTAGGACCCAGAACCGACACCTGCGGGTCTAGAGTATCTTCTGCCTTCCCTGCTCCCTGCCATCCTCACATATTAGGACTTGGGGACCTTTAGGATTGTTGGATGGCCATGGCAGTCTCTCATCACAGGGAAGACCAGGAGGACAAACACCCAGATGACACAGCACCCAGGGCCATTGGGAACTATTCCCTTTGAGGGGGAAGAGTGTGAATTCCAAGCTCAGGAGTAGCCTGGACTCTCTCCTTGGACCTGAGGCTACTCCTGGATCCCAGGGCTGGCCTCTACCACTGGACTCTGCTTGTGTTTCCATGAGTTGAGTCCAATGTGGTATTGGTGCTTAGGTCTTGGCTCAGGCTCTAAGTGACCAAAGTGTTCAAGGAATGAAAACACAACTGTTTTCTAACGCCCGGAAGGAGGCAAATATTCCAGCAATTCTGCATGTGGCATCAGAGGACCCAGCTTAAAAGGGAAGAGTTGAGTCTTTGGGAAAACCCATCCCTAAGATCCTAGAACATTCTTTTGAGTTTTTCTGAGATCTTGTGGAAGCACCTCCATGATTACGCGCTGCCTCCAGTACACACACATGCAGACACACAGACAAACACACACACACACAGACACACACACAGAGAAACACATACAGACACACACACACAGAGACACACACAGACACCCACACACAAAGAGCCACACACAGACACACTCATACACACACACACACACACTCCTGGCTAGTGGGACTTCAATCCTTAATGGAGGGACCTGCACTGGTTACATCCTGAGCACAGGTCAGATCTGGGAACTACAGTGCAACACTACAGTCACTGCAATCTTGGTGAACACACACCAAAGAGAAGCATGGGGTAGGATGAGACTCAGTGAGCTTGCGTGAGTCAGGGCTTTCTAATGGGAGATGAGGAAACTCTCCCAAGTACCTTGAACAGAAAAAGAAATGTGTTGCAATAGCATCGTCGTGTAAACTGAAAATCTCAGGAGTTGATGGCTTCAGGCATGGCTGGGTCCAGATGATCATAGGATATTATTGAGAATCTACCATTCTCTGTCCTTCAGCTTTGCACATCTCTGTGTTGGCTTCACTCTTAGGCAGATATATCTCCTGGGAAGGTTAAAGACAACAGCACTCTAGACTTATGTCCTATCTGCTTAAAAACCCTCTTTCTAAACAATTCCTGCAAAAGTTTTGGGGTAAACTCTATTGGATTGACATGAGTGTATGCCCATCCCTGAACTAATATTCATGTTCAGGGAGATGGAGCACCGCAGGTCACATATAGATATACGAATTCACGGAGTGATGCGGGAAGAACCTGACACCTCTGTTGCCCCACTCACCCAGCTCAGTGTTCTCCTGGTAAGCCTCTCACCCACATCCTCTGCCTTTGTCTTCACAGAAATTCTTATCTCTGGACTTACAGGGAGACCCCAGAGAGGTAAGGACCTTTTGTTTCTGGATTACGGGTTTTGAGTCTTAGCACCTTTAAGCTCCAATTAACTGTGAGTGAAAGAATCATCTCTTGGGTAATTATAGTAACTCCTGCGTGTTTGTTTCTGAGGCCCAGAGAGGGGTAGTGACTCACCTGGGTAACACAGCCAGGAAGACTAGTGGCTGGCCTGGAACCCATTTTCCTGACTCCCAGTCCAGTGCTCCCAGGCATCACCTCTGTGTGCCCTGGGCTCTGCCCACTCCCCTTCTTTTTTACATTTTCTGCTCCCCAAAATGGCACTGTAGGAGGAGGCTGAAACAGAACCTTCCACAATCAGGAGGCAGAGATAACAGCGATGATTAGCCAAGGAGAGGGGAAGCCTAAATCTCAGTCCAAGGACACTCGTCTCCTCCCAGCACACAGGAAACTCCAACAGTATTCTCCCAATCTCCTCATCCCCACTCCCACCCCCACCTCCCAGTGGGTTGACAGTTTCTGGTGACATCACCTCTGACGAATCTTACAATCCTGTCCTCTCTGCTGCCTCCCTGGAGATCACAGCACTCTCCTAAATGGTCATGGGCGGAGTACATGAGATTCATTCAGCAAAGACTTAATAAACACTTCCTATGTGCCAGGACTTGTTTAGGAGCTGGGGATATAACAGTGAAAAAAGAAAGACTCCCTACCCTCTTGGGACCTTCCATTACAGTGCCAGGACAGTGCAATAAAAAAGCAAATCAAGTATGTATTCCGTTTGATGGTGTGCAGCATTAGGGGATAGAGTTTGTGGGTGGCTTCAATTTAAGTAGCAGGATCAGGGAATGGTTCAATGAGAAGGTGGCATTTGAGCCAAGCTCTGGAGGAGGCAGGAAGCCAGCTGTCAGGAAACCTGGAGAAGCCTATTCCAGGCAGAGGGAACAGTCACTGCAAAGACCCTGACAGAAGGGGCCAGTCTGGCTGGAGAGGACCGAGTGTGGGGACAGACTGGCTTGAGGCTAAAGAGGTAATGGGCAGTGGGAGAGAGATCAATTAAAGTACTTGGATTTGGATTCAGAGCAAGATGGGAAGCCTTTGGAGGTTTTGAACAGAGGAGTCACATGATCTTAGATCTCACAAAGGTCTCTGTCTCTGGTGTTCAAATAGACTGTAGGAAAGGGGCAAAGTGGATGCAGTTGACCAGCTGGGCAGCCACTGCATTGCCATAATCCAGGCAAGGGCTCCTGGCTGCTTAGACAGGGCTGTGGCAGTGGGGATGGGAGGAGTAGTTGGAGTCTGGATATCTTTGAAGGAATAGCTGACAGGATTTGCTGATGGACAGGATGCAAGGGGTAAGAAACGGGGAGGAGTGGAGGACGCCCTGAGTTTTCTGACACAACAAGGTTGTGCCCACACAGGGCAGCCACTTGCAAACTCTAAGTGGAGAACAATCACTTGTCATTGTTGCTGATGGCAGTCTTCCAGCATGGCTGTCACCCAACTGAGGTGCTCCCGTCTCTTGCCTCAACTTTTAGCCTCTTCTACTTCACCTTCTCTCCCCATTTCCATGTCTCATGGTGCAGCCAGACTGGCCTTCCTTAACAGAATTAGAGCACGTCACCCCCACTTCTTAAAAGCCTGACCTTCCTTATGAGACAAATCCCCTTCCCTCCATGGAGTTAGTCCTTCAAAACACACCTGCGTGCACACTGTGTGCCAGACTGTGCAGAAGGTAGGCTCTGCACCTGTCCCTCCCTCTAGACCCTGCCCCACAGCATTTCTCCAAGCCAAGAACTCTTGGTTGTTTCTGGAATTTACCCTGCACAGTGACACCTATGTCCTTTTGCTCATGCGGTTCCCACTGTTTAGAAATTCTCACTCCTTTCCTCACCTGGCAATACCATTCACTGCCCAGAGCCCACCGCAGGCAGGCGGCGTCTCTTCCACGTAGTCTGCCCTGCATCTTCCTTCCAGAGGGGCTGCTCCTCTTGCTGGCCTCCCACAGCAGCCCTGCCTGAACTGCACAGCCTCTTAAGGAGGCTGGACTTGCACCCCAATCCTGTTCTTCATTGTCAGCCATATTGGATTAGGATCTGATCTTGTCCAGCTAGGTCTGGTCCACTTTTCAGAACATCTCCCCCAGGCAGTCCGAACTAGCTCGTCATTCATTGGCTTTTGTAGAGCAGACCAAAGGTCCCAGAAGCCATAGGGTCTCAAAGGCTAGGAATTGTCCAGTTCCATCTGATATCCAGAAGGGAAATACAGCCCATGGGGCGTGGAACTGGGAAGATTCCACAGAGGACTGGTGTCTATGAGAGGGACCCACAGCAACCTTGCTAACAAGTAATACCTAACAGTTATTCAGCCTTTCCAGACACCAGGTGCTGTGCTAAGTATTTTACATGTGTTCAGCCATTTAATCCTCACAATAACTCACCTCTTAGATGAGAAAACTGAGGCCCAAACAGGTGAAACTCCCAGCCAGTAAGTAGCAGAGCCAGGCTTCAGATGCAGTTAATCTGGTTTCAAAGTCCATGCTCTATCTTAGCAACATCCACGCTCTATCGTAGCAACTACACCATTGTGACTAAATATGAAATATAACTGTACCCAGAACCAGCTGCCCTGATGGCAACACATGAGTTGGGCTCTCTCTAATCTGTGACCATATAAAAATTATTCATCAAAGGTGAAACCTAAAATTAAGACATGGATCAATATACTGTGAGTTAATCACTGATTCTTTTACTCATGATTTTCTCTCTAGTAGGGAATCATGTCCTAGTCTAGGCTCCTTGAGTGACCAGGGTTCGGTACCTCCTCAAAGCCACCCGTGGATCAATAACAGCTCTTGTTTAAATACAGATAGATAGCATAATCTCTTCCTCATTAATCATGGATTCTGTGTTTATAAATTCACCTGCTTGCTAAAATGTCCTTATAACCCCCAAATCAATACTGGTGGCACTTTCATGGTCACACACAGGCAGGTACAGAGCAGGGGAAGCTGGATTTGCATGATGGGCATGTTCCATCTGAGATCCGGCGAGGCAACCTCTCTCTTCTTGTTTCATCTCTGATGTTTACAAGTGTCCTCTTCGCGGTCTATTTAGTGCCGTGTGTTCTGCATTTTTGTGCTTTTTGTAGTGATGTCACTGTTTAGAGCGAACCCAAGAGTAGCGCTGCTGTCTGGCGTTCCTGAGCTAAACAGGCTGTGCTGTGCCTTACGGGGAAGGTGCCTGTGTGAGACAAGCTTGGATGAGGCAGGAGCTGCAGTGCTGCTGGCCGTGCATTTGGTGTTGAAAAATCCACATAATAGCACATTCAGAAAAAGGAGAAGGAAATTGGCCGATTCATACATGAGGCTGTGATAGAAAGGGCTAAAGTAACACCTATTGTGTGGGATGGAGCCGTGGAAGTCTCTTTCAACAGAAACCCACACATAAAAGAAGGTTGATGAAAATGTTGTGGCCAGAGGTTTGCAAAAACCTAACCCAGTATTTCCCCCTTGAGTGATGACCCTGTATTCTCTAATTCAGTACTCACGGGGGCTTTATCAGAAGCAACTGCCAGGACTACCGAAAATCAATTGTGGACACACAGAGGAAAATGCATGCACTTCAAATTGAAATATATAGACATGTAATTTTACATAGATAATACATGTATTTCAATATGAGTGAAGATTTCTTCCTCTCCTCATCACCTGAGCAGTGTCAGCCTCTGCCTGAAGTTCTGCCCCTGAGTCATGGAGACCTACCCCCCTAAGTTAGGATCCTGAGCATGTGCAGCCATGGCGCATGGCCATGCCGGTCTATGGTACTGGTCTCACCCTCAGACAGGCAGAGTTGGGGACATGGGTGTGACTAGGGAGGGAATCACAGGTGCTGCACTGCTCTCTCCCCAGAGTCAACCCCTTCTGGGCACTGTGATTGATGGGATGCTGCTGCTGAAAACACCTGAAGAGCTTCAAGCTGAAAGGAATTTCCACACTGTCCCCTACATGGTCGGAATTAACAAGCAGGAGTTTGGCTGGTTGATTCCAATGGTGAGAAGGCACATGTCTGTTGGAGGGACTCAACCACCCCCATCAGCCCTCCTGTCTCTGGTCCCAGGAATGCTTCCCTCTCCGAGCTGCACTCTGAGTCCTGGGCAGCTGTTCCCTTCAGCAGGAGTTAACATTTCCACGGAAATCTTCTCCAGGAGGGCACAGTTTTCACCGGGGTATCAGGGCCCTGGGATTCCCTCTCCCCAGACTCTCTTATTGTCTTCCTATTGAAGAATCCTGAAGTGTCTGTGCTGGGAGGGCCAGTAGAGAAAATAACTCTGCAGATGGGAAAACGGAGGGGGCCTAGAAGGGGGAAGGAGTGGAGGAGTCCGGAGAAGCAGTCGGGGGCTTCCTGGCTTCCCACCTCGGGCTGGGTGTGCGTAATTCCCCTGAAAATCACTCATGCTCTTCATCACCTCATTGAAAATATCCAAAGAAAGTGGCTTCTTCTTGAGTTACCATTGACTTCTAGGGAACAGCAGACATCAGCGTCTACTAAGAGAGTGGATGGTCAGAGGAAGATGAGGATGGAAAAGCTACCTAATCGGGTGCTATGCTCAATACCTGGTAACAAAATAATCTATACAGCAAACTCCAGAGACCCAAATTACCCATGATCAAACCTGCACAGTTACCCCCAAACCTAAAATAAAAGTTGGAAACAAATAAATGGAAAAAGTAATTGAGTTCTAAAAGTAAAGAAGTGTTCTCCTTCCAGTTGAAGATAAACAAAACTGACCCTGGTTAAAGCAGTAGGACAGATTTATTCAGTAATATGATTGCAATAGGGGAAATAGTCCAGCGTGGAGTGGACTCACATCCCTGAAACAAAAGCCTGATGACGTTTCATAGGCCAGGTGTGCCAAGGGAAACACTGTGGTCTATGGGGAGAGGCTTGGTTCATGTGACTAGACCACCTGGATGTCTTCATCCTGGCTCACCTGGGGCAGAAACAAACTCCTCTTATCTTTAGGACAGGAAGCCATGCATTAGACCGCAGGAAGAACCCACTGAAGTCAGGCTCTACTCTTTCGACAGGGACTGGGAAGATCAGGAGTGAGCTCCCTGAATGTTTGCATTGCAAAGAGAAGGCTCTCAGGTCCTCAAGGAAATGGGGTTGGGTGGTAGATTCACATCCCAAAGGGCAGAGAAAGTGTTTATCATTGCAGGCTTCTAAAGTAACTGCTCTAGTTGGGTTCGGGGACCTGGCTGCTTGTCTCCAGGTTTTGGCTGGAGCAGAGTAAATTGTCCTGGCAGGGTTGAGCCTTCCCAGGCAGTTATGTTAAGGATACTGGGGTCATTCTAGGGACACAGCCTTAAGCTGCTAGAAGCAATGCTAGAGATTGGTCGAGTCCCTGAGTGCAGAGGTTTGGGAAGAGTTGTTATGTGCGTAGAGATGTGCAGTTCGCCCCTCAGAAGGATTTCAGAGGTTATACCAAAGACCAAAGCCACGAAGACAGGATTTAAGGATTTCAGTGTCATCTGTGACAGGTGGGGGTACTAGGGAGGTCTACATCCTCTTCCCCAGAGCCCTCTATTCCACACTGGCCTGGCAGACACCTTGCATCTCCATGTCACTGACCACTGTAGGGATCCCAGCCACAGACACACACACACACACGCGCGCACACACACACACTGCAAAACACTGCCACAGCTTCTCTGAAATTTTGTTTTTTGTTTTTTTTTTTTGTAAACTTTGCAATGCTTGAGTTTCTGGATATAAGCCCATTTGATTCATTGATTTCACCCATTTCAGTAAAGACTCATGCCCTTAAAAGCCCCCATAATTAGAGGACTTTCAGACTGCATTGGTTTGGTTGGTTGGTCAGTTTGTTTCTTATCATTAATTCCCAATGATTCATAAATGCTGAACTTTTTTTTTTTTTTTAGCAGTTGATGAGCTATCCACTCTCCGAAGGGCAACTGGACCAGAAGACAGCCATGTCACTCCTGTGGAAGTCCTATCCCCTTGTTGTAAGAGTCTAGGAATCATGGGAATTGGCTGAGACCCAGAGAGGGACAAGGACTTGCCCAAATCATAGAGCAATTAAATGGCAGAATGAAGACTGGGGCCTCAGGGTTTCCCCCATCTTTCCACCTTTCCCACTTCATTTTCCACCCTAGCGGGGAGTTGCACAGGGCTTATGGGGTTCACCATTGAGGCAGGACTTTCTGGTGGGCTGGAGAAGCTGCATCGCTCACCCGGGGCTGGTGGTCACTTTTTGATCTATTTCAGTGCATTGCTAAGGAACTGATTCCAGAAGCCACTGAGAAATACTTAGGAGGAACAGACGACACTGTCAAAAAGAAAGACCTGTTCCTGGACTTGATAGCAGATGT
The DNA here is from genome assembly GCF_000001405.40 of Homo sapiens. Taxonomy (NCBI): domain Eukaryota; kingdom Metazoa; phylum Chordata; class Mammalia; order Primates; family Hominidae; genus Homo; species Homo sapiens. Next base: position 10,342 of record NW_003315945.1, read on the forward strand.
GATGTTTGGTGTCCCATCTGTGATTGTGGCCCGGAACCACAGAGGTGAGTCCCAGAGGTCGAACGGGAGGGACACAAACCCCACGAGCTTCTGTATCTGACCCACCTACCTCCCAGCATAGACAGACATGGAAACAGCTGAGGGTCAGGCCTCAAAGGCTGATTCCATATGGCATGGGATGAGGTGCTGTCTTATTTTGGTTTATGCCAGCAGAAGACTGTGAGAAAAAAAAATCCAGAGGCAAGTGGTTTTTTTAAGGTGATGATCCCAGATAACAGCAGTAGGGAGGTGGGGAAGTGAGAGAGGAAAGAGATGGAATCCAATCCAAGATGCGTTGTCAAGGGAGTATCCACTGTGGACAACTGGAGCGGGGAAACTCAAGGAAACACCAAGAATACAGGGCTCAGGGGCATCCCATCTGAGTGGCAAGGGAGCCGGGTATTTATTCACCAGCTTCTACTTGTCATTGGTTGAAGGCTCTTGCAAGGAATTGTTTATTCCCTGTGACTTCGACCTGCTGCACACAAGGGCAGAGTAGTCTCTTGTGACCAGACAAAGGCCTCAGGCCTGGAGCTGCAGATGCTGGAGGTGGAAGTCAGGCTGGCATGCCCAGGAAGAGGGGATATAGGTGAGACCCTGGCAGCATCTGCTGCAAGGGCTCCATGCCTGGAGTTATTGTGGGACATAGGGCTGCTGTAGGACAAATATTGAAAGATGAGTCGTGGAAGGGTTTTAAGGTCTGAGCCAGCTGCAAACAAGTTTGTTAAGTATTGGAGCTGGATAAAAAGTGGGAGCCCTGCATGGGATCCAGAGGATTGTCCAGGACCAAGAAGGCCAGAGAGAGGAGCCAGGGCGGGTGTGGGAGAGGTGGTCTGTAGAATGGCAGTGTCTGAGGGTGGTTTTTATGCATCTCAGTGCGTGCAGTAGCATGCAAGCACAGGGCAAGGGCAGGGTCTATGCAGGACCTGCTACCACTGACCCAAGGCTGTGTGGGTGGGGCATGACGTTAGGGATGTGTGTGCTCACCTAGAGAGGAGTGTCTGTTCCTGCGTGCCAGCTAGAGGAGATTCACAGGATTCCTTTTCTTCCAGCTCTCATTCGCCTAGTCTGCAAGCTAGGAAATGTCCTCTCTCTAACCATGCTGGAAGGGTTTTTAAATTTAGAACTTCATAAGCATGATAAAAACTAGCTAACGCTTAACTAGCAGGTGCCCTGACACACCTTTGCACAGGAAGGGGCAGGTGCTCATAACCCTCATTTCTTCACAGGGTCCTGATAAAAACCTTTAACCAAGACCACTGGAGTTGAATCTGTTCTTTCTTAAACTTGCCCTTGCCCTATGCTCTGCGTCTGAACTATATATAGAGTTCCCATCTCCATTTTCTGATGGTTTGAGCAATACTGAACTTATGTTTTTCATCTGGTTTCCCATGACTTTAAGTTCAGGGCTTTTTTTTTTTTTTTTTTTTTTGCCAGGACTACACAGATTTTATCTACTTTCACTTATTGTTGTCTCACTCTTTTTGATAAAATAACATTTCTGAATATAAAATTAATATGTTAAATTATAGAAACTTTCAAAAATATGGAAACACAAAAAGAAGAAACTATGTATCACTCATTTCCACTACCTGGAGGCAAGTGCTATAAATTTTTTGTGTTTTCGTCTAAAGATTTTCCATGTCCTATATACTTTAAAAATCAATTTTATATTTTACTTTTGTTCATAGAACACTATGTTGTGAGGATTTTCTCAATGTTGATACAAACTCATCAAAGCATTCCTTATTCCATGAAATGGCTGTGTTAAATAGACTTTAATATTCATATCCTATTAGATGTTTAGCCTGGCTACTCACATTCTGATGCTACAATAACATTGAGCTCAGCCTAATGTTCATAAGTCTCTAAACACATGTCTAATAATTTTCTTAGGATTATTTTTAGAAGTAAATAACTAGGTTGGACAATGCAAATGTTTTAGAACTTTGGGCAAATATTGTAAAATTGCATTCCACTGCATAAGAATGTGGATTTCTTAATTCTCTTTCTCATTTGGGATGCTAAGATTAAAAATTAGCATAACACTTCCAGTTTCATAAGCCTTCCCCACCAACAAGAAGCACATCAGCCTGTTTTAATCTGCATGTCCTCCATGACTAGCCCTCTCATTGTCTCTGCTTCTCTTATTATGTCTAATTGTCATTACCCAAATCTGTGCGCTACTTTCCTCTGAAGACTTGTGTTGTGATTGTAAGAATTGTATAAATATCAATGGCTTTAGCCAAAGAGTTTTACAAAGTACGTTTTGGGCAGCATGCTGCCTATAATAAGTTCTATCATTCACAAAAGCTCTTTCTTCTATGGTTGGCTCTGAGTTTCTTTGGAAAATGTTCGAGGGGCAAAGGCAAGGTCAAACCCTCCTTTTAGCAAGTTTTGTTTGACCTTGAAGCAGCCATTTAACAGGTGGATTACAGAGCCACAGAAGGATGGCATCTTCCCAGGTGCGCTTCCTGCTGAGCCGAGGGTGCAGTGCAGGAGGCTGACAAAGATGAGTGAATAGATTATTCTTCATTCTCACATTGAAATGACATGTGCGGGTGGGGCATGAGGTTAGGGATGCGTGAGCTCCCATTGTTAAATCCTTTTGTGAACGAATTTTTAATGATGTTAAGAAATGATGGCTGGAGGCGGTGGCTCTTGCCAACACTCTCAGCATTTTGGGAGGCTGAGGTGGGAGGATTATGAGAGCCTAGGATTTCAAGATCAGCCTGGGCAGCATAGTGAGACCCTGTCTCTACAAAACAATTTAAAAGGGAAGTGATTACAGTGTACTACAAAATACCATATATAATATCATCCCCAGTTAAATACATAAAAGAGAGATATGCTAAAATAAAAAAGAAGCATTCTCTGAGTGGTAGAGTTATGAGTGATACTTTAAATTTGATTGTTAAAATTGATTTTTAAATTATATAGGATATGGAAAAATTTTAGAAGGAAATACAAAAAATGCATGGCCCTTGCCTCAGGTAGTGGAATTATGAGTGATATCTAGTTTTGCTTTATGCGTTTCCATATTTTTGTTTCTTCTAATTATTCCTAATTGTTTTTATTTTCCAAATTTCTTACTGTACCCAAAGGGGAGGACATTGTAAATTTTCTCCACCAGCCTGGCATTGCCCTGACTCTTTCCGTCTTAGTGTCACTTCTCAGTGGGTATCATGACCAGTGCAAAGTGCTGAGGCACAGGGCCAGGCGGCCCACGAGGTAGCCCTGAAGGGGCAGCGATCTGTGGCTCCAATGAGCCAATCATTGGGAAACTGGCATCTTCCTGGGGCTGGGACAGGAGAGCTTTGTTGGTGGGAGAGGAGGGCAGAGCCGAAGGAGAGAGGGCAGGGGAGAGGCAAGGTCACCCTTGCTCAGCGCCTTCTTTTCTCTGCCAGGGCTTTACTGCCTTAACACCCTAACACTCCCAGGCCAGGCAGGCAGCAAGACACATGGGGACAGTGAGCTATAAAGCAGTGAGTGCCGCAGGTTCCTGAGACACAAGAGGCAGATTGTTCCCTCTCTGCATATGTTTGTATTTAAATAGCCTCATGTTCAGACAAGCAACTTGGATTTGCTTCAGTCTTCTCAGGATGGGTGAGAAAAACACTGGAAATGCTCAAAACGAGGCAGAACAGAAGACACCTGTCATGGTGGAGATGGCATCCAAGTGAATGAACGCGAGTCTGTTATCAATGAATTATATCCGGTGTAACCAGATGTAGAGAGATTGTCTTGTGTGAGAATGCACCAGCAGGCAAAGGGGTTTACGAGGCAGAGTCAGGGTCCCTGCACCGGCAGCTGTTTTAAATGAATTGACCCAGGGTTTCCACATTCATTCATTAAACATTTGTTCATTGAACAAATATTTGGCTCTAATTCCGCTTCCACCTCAGACAGCTATGCAGCCCGGAGCACATCACTGAGCTTTCCTGAGACTCTGTTTCTCTACTGTGCTGACAGCCAGAGGTTTGCTGCAGAGCTGGAGACCTTGGTAGCCTCCAGGTGTGTGTCTGGCAACATGAACTGTGCATGAATCCTTGTCTTCTCAGATGCTGGAGCACCCACCTACATGTATGAGTTTCAGTACCGTCCAAGCTTCTCATCAGACATGAAACCCAAGACGGTGATAGGAGACCACGGGGATGAGCTCTTCTCCGTCTTTGGGGCCCCATTTTTAAAAGGTAATGCTCCTTCCTGTCTGTGAGCTAGGAGTTAGAGACTTGGGTTCCAGTCTTGGTGTGGTGGCCTTCAGCAATTTTGTCCTCTCCTGGTCTTAGTTTCCTGATTCTGTATAACAGGGTTGAATGTCACTGGGTTGTCCGCCGGCTTCCTCCCACTCTAACACATGTGAGGAGGGATGTGTATTCATGTGCCCTCTGCACAGACGCTCAGAATCCTGCTGTGTGACATCAAGACAGGTGGTGGTGGGGGTCTCCTGCAGGATTCACTATGACAGGGTTGAATGTCACTGGGTTGTTCCCCGGCTTCCTCCCGCTCTAACACACCTGAGGGAGGATGTGTATCATGTACCCTCTGCCACAGACACTCAGAATCCTGGGCTGTGTCATCAACAAGATAGGCGGTGGGACACATGCGGGGCCCTGCTCTAGGTTGAGAAGCCACCAATCAATTTCCCTCTCCCAGGAGCGCTGAGACAGTGAGTGAGGGTGAGATTAGAATTGGTGTTAACCCTAAGTCAGGTCTAATGTGTGCCTGTTTGTCTTTCTGTCTGTCTCTAACAAAAACTCATAAACCTTTACATTTAGTACATTTAATAATTGTTGATTTAGAATTCACAGGATGTATGAATTTGGAACAGGAGAAGAGAATATTTTTTATATGGTTTATAGTCAGCAAGGTGGCCATCCCACAGGCTGGGAAGGTGCCTCTGGCCAAGCCCAGAAACGGGCTCATTGGAGGAGGGGTTGGGTAGGAGCTTTATGTGAACGGATTGGCTAAACATACATGTTCAACAGGTTACAGGGGGAGCAATGGATATTCATGAAGACAGTCCTGACACATGTGTATTAAACAAACATGTATGTAACATGGCCCATGTTCACCTGGTGGTGGAGACCTAATATTTAAATGTATTACAATTAGGGCCTGTAAGTCCAAAGGTCTTCTCAGGACACGAAGCTCAGCAAGTGAGGAGCTTCTGTACACCGGCCAGGTCCAGTCCATGGCTGGTGATGTTCTTATCTGGAGAAAGTTACTGAAATCAGTCTCTTATGCAATCAAAGCAGTAGTTAAGTCTGGCAAGTCAGGGTTCTGTTTGTCTGCGTATCCCAGCTGCAGCCGTTGTTATTGTTTTCCTTTTGCTTAGCTCCAGGCCAGTGCTGGTTTAGCTGCTAGAGAAAGAGAAGCACCTCGTGGCAGTGAGAACAAAGTGGATTCTTTTTTTTTTTTATTATTATACTTTAAGTTTTAGGGTACATGTGCACATTGTGCAGGTTAGTTACATATGTATACATGTGCCGTGCTGGTGCGCTGCACCCACTAACTCGTCATCTAGCATTAGGTATATCTCCCAGTGCTATCCCTCCCCCCTCCCCCCACCCCACCACAGTCCCCAGAGTGTGATATTCCCCTTCCTGTGTCCATGTGATCTCATTGTTCAATTCCCACCTATGAGTGAGAATATGCGGTGTTTGGTTTTTTGTTCTTGCGATAGTTTACTGAGAATGATGGTTTCCAATTTCATCCATGTCCCTACAAAGGACATGAACTCATCATTTTTTATGGCTGCATAGTATTCCACGGTGTATATGTGCCACATTTTCTTAATCCAGTCTATCATTGTTGGACATTTGGGTTGGTTCCAAGTCTTTGCTATTGTGAATAATGCCGCAATAAACATACGTGTGCATGTGTCTTTATAGCAGCATGATTTATAGTCATTTGGGTATATACCCAGTAATGGGATGGCTGGGTCAAATGGTATTTCTAGTTCTAGATCCCTGAGGAATCGCCACACTGACTTCCACAATGGTTGAACTAGTTTACAGTCCCACCAACAGTGTAAAAGTGTTCCTATTTCTCCACATCCTCTCCAGCACCTGTTGTTTCCTGACTTTTTAGAGATGCAGGCCTGAACCCTTGCCCGACGTGGCCTTAGGTCTCGTTTTTAATTTGGTGTCTTATTGCCACAAAGAGTGTGTTCTGTCAGAATGATGACCTTCATTTTATTGCTGATGCTGGTCCGGTGGTGTCTAAATCACAAAAGGGAGGGAGTATTATGAGGCGTGTCTGACCTCCTGTCCGTTCCCAGGCAGGAACAGAGTTGAAGGTTTTTCGAGGCTCCCCTTAGCCCAGAGAGGGTCTGTTCAGTCAGTTGGGGGTGTCAGGATTTTATTTTTAGTTTACATTATACAATAGTTTAAAAAATCCTTTCACGGTGTCTTCTAAGTCTTAACTCTCAGCAGTTACAGATCAGATGGGACTCACCCCATGGCTGCTCAGAACGCACCAGCGCCTCTGGGCATCTCACTGTGCATGCTTAGGCGCCTTGCGGCTCTGTTGTTTTTCAGAATGTGAATTGTGGGTGTGTGCTGGGGAGGGAGAAAAGACCCAAGAGAGAGCAACCCTGGAAAGTGGGGTTGCTGTAGAGGAAACCCTGGGGTGGGGCATTTCCTGTGACCCTGAGCGGGGAGGAGGCAGGCGAGGGTCACAGGAGACAAAGGCAGCCAGCCAATGGAATGACGCATGCCCATTGCTGAGCCCTAGGTCAGATATGCTGAAAGGTAAAGTACACACAAATCCACCACGATCTTCTAAAAGTGCAGACCTCAGCTCAGTGGGTGTGGGGCATGTGCCAAGACTATGTTTCCAGCAGACTCGCATGTGATGTTGACGCTGCAGTCCACGGACCACACTTTGAGTAACAAAGGCTTTTTTTCTTCTTCCCCACAGAGGGTGCCTCAGAAGAGGAGATCAGACTTAGCAAGATGGTGATGAAATTCTGGGCCAACTTTGCTCGCAATGGGTGAGGCTGGTGGCAAAGACAGAGCACGGCTGGTGAGGGTGGGGGGCGGGGCATGCCTATTGGGAAGGGGCAGCTTCTAAGGTTCTAGTGATCAAACTTCTGACCCTGTGACCATAGCACTCTGATAATGAGAGCTCTCTGCAAACGGAGAGGCCGCCCCTGGAGATAGTGAGCTCTCCATCTCTGGAGGTATACAAGCCTCTTGACAGAGATAACTTGGGCATCCTCACACATCTCTGAAGATTGTTGGGAACACACAGCAGCTTTGGGGCAATTCTAATTGATTCTGTTTCCAGAAACCCCAATGGGGAAGGGCTGCCCCACTGGCCAGAGTACAACCAGAAGGAAGGGTATCTGCAGATTGGTGCCAACACCCAGGCGGCCCAGAAGCTGAAGGACAAAGAAGTAGCTTTCTGGACCAACCTCTTTGCCAAGAAGGCAGTGGAGAAGCCACCCCAGACAGAACACATAGAGCTGTGAATGAAGATCCAGCCGGCCTTGGGAGCCTGGAGGAGCAAAGACTGGGGTCTTTTGCGAAAGGGATTGCAGGTTCAGAAGGCATCTTACCATGGCTGGGGAATTGTCTGGTGGTGGGGGGCAGGGGACAGAGGCCATGAAGGAGCAAGTTTTGTATTTGTGACCTCAGCTTTGGGAATAAAGGATCTTTTGAAGGCCAAATTGGTGCTTGTGTCTTGTACTGGAGATTAATACTTTGTCCTCAGAGACAGAACGGTGATGAAAGAGGCGACGTGAGAAGGAAGGTGGCTTTGCTGGGGATGGCCTGGTCTCAGGATGAGCAGAGTCCAGAGGGCTGGGTCATGGACGGTGCTCAGGGGAGCTCTGGGCCTGATGCACCTTTCTGGGCCCCCAACAATTTCCAACAATACGAGTTGGGGTGGCCAGAGTGCAGGATCCCTACCCTCTATTTGGAGTTGCCCATGGAAATGGAAGTGGCCCAGGCTGAGAATGAGTCTGGATCAGGGAAGAGGGAGACGTGCTGAGGTGATCCCGTGGCACTGTTGCATGGCACTTACTGACCATTGCACAGGCCTGCAACACCTTTCTGAGTATGTACACTAGCCTCCCATACCCCTCCATGAGGTTGTCTCTTCCACCAACTGGTCGAAACTCCTTCTGTAGCCTGGACCACTTCTGGTGTGGGCAGTGACCACCTTGGAGGTGGTCCATTCTTCTCCAGAGGGTCATCCTAAACTGTGTCTTTCAGAATCCCATGGGTGATTTCTGGATTCTGTTAGTACGTAGAAAGCTCTAAAGCATGTCATTCCCGCCTTATCAGCAAGAGGAAGCCGGATTGTCCTCAAAATCATAACTTTTCCTGCACCAAAGAGCTGAAGTTGCAAGGCACATGGTTCCCTCGAAATCGAAGGGAAGACAAGCACCTGGGGGAGTGGTGGGATGTGAACACTGGCTTACTTCTCACCTGCAGGCAGGAGACGGCGTGACCATAATGAGCAGAAATACTCTATGAATTTTATTCAGTGCTGAAGGCCAAGGGTGGGCCACTGTGAGAGTATAAAACCTCTGGGAACCATGGACCCATGGGGAGTTGACTCCCATCACAGACTCTACTCCATGGGTATTTATCAGGGCCCATGAGAAAGATTGGGGTAGACAGTGAGACTGGAGAAAGTCTGCCTTCAGGAATGCAGGCATGAGCCCTGCTGACACCCTTCACCCCTAAAGAACAAAATCCTTCAATCATTGCGGAATGGCCAGGAAATCTTGTCCTCCTCAAGGTACTGGTAGAGACATATTGAGGTTGAAGATAAGGAACCTTTTAAAACTCTATACCCCTTGGAGAGGGACAGGGAGTCATCTTGGGCCCAGATTATCGGTCTTTTACTGCTGGGGATGGTCAGTATCTCTGACAAACCTCCATCTCCAACAGCAAGAAATGAAGGTCCTGCCTAAGGTTGAGGCTGGACCACGACAAGAGCAGGCACTCCTGGCTGCTACCATGGAGTTAGCCAGTCCCAGGTAACAGAAATCTGCTGCTGGGAGAGAGAGCAAAGCATGCAGATCAACCCTCTTGTAAAAGCAGGTGCACAGGACAGGCCTAAAGCTGAGAGTGGAACAAGACATTAGGAAAATCGTTCAGAAAACCGGCCTTTACACAAGCACACCAGAACCAGCACAAGGTAGCACTGGAAGCATTTGAAGCAGATGGTGCATTGATGATAGCCATAGCAACAACAAAACTATTCCCCGATCACCACACTCGAAATACACACGCACACACACACACACACGCATGCATGTACACACAAAATCAGTCTAGCAGCAGAAGAAAAGATATGTCCACTTCCTGTCACGGATACTACTTACTTCAGTTTCAACTCACTTACCCATGATGTCAAGTATTGAATTCAAAATTGCAAACCTTATAAAGGAAGCAACACCTATGAACAAGAGACAAAGCAGTTGGGCACAGTGGTGCATGCCTGTAGTCCCAGCTACTTAGGAGGCTGATGCAGGAGGATTGCTTGAACCTGTGAGTTCAAGGCTGTAGTGCACTGTAATTGCACCTATGAATAACCACCTGCACTCTAGTCATGGTATTATGGTGAAATAGCATCGCTTAGAGTGAGAGAGAGAGAGAGAGACAGACAGACAAATCAATCAACAGAACCAGATTCAGAGATAACCTAGGTGTTAGACTAACAGACTGGGAATTTAAAATAACTATATGGAATACTTCCATGAACAGATGGCTAGTTTCAGCAGAGAGGTAGAAACTATGAGAAAGAAGCAAATAGAAATGTTAGAAATGAAAAAAAATAGTAACAGAAATTAGAAATGCCTCTAATGGATTCATCAGTAGATCTGACACAGCTGACGAATGAATGAGTGTAGCAGAAGACAGGCCAATATAAATTACCCAACTTAAAATGAAGAAAATCAGTGAAAAAAAAACAAAACAGGGAATCAAAGAACTGTCAGATAATATCCAATGGTCCAACATATGCATAACTGGAATCCCAGAAAGAGAAGACAAAGCAGGCAGAAGAAAATATTTGAAGAGATAATGGCTGAGAATTTTCCAAAAGTAATGAAAAACATCAAGGCATACGTCCAAGAGCCTGGAAAACCCCAAGCAGGATTCAACAACAACAGCAACAACAGCAACAAAAACATACACATTTAGACACACACTGAGAAAATATTGAAGGCAGCCAGAGGAAAAAGACATTGCATACAAAGAAAGGGATTAGAGCAGATTTTTCACTGGAAACTATGCAAGCCAAAAAATAATGGAGTGACACCTTTAAAGTATTCAAACGAAAAAAATCTTTGCAGAATTCTATATCCAGAAAAAACACTGTTCAAAAAATACAGGGAAAAATGTTTTCAGATGAACAATAGAGAGAATTTATACTTACATACTTGTGCTACCAAAAATGTAAAAGGAAATTCTCTACGCAAAAGGTATATGATACAGGATAAAAACTTTGATATTTATCAAAGAAGTGAAGCTCTACATATAGCTTTAAAATAAAGGTAATGTAGGCTATTTTTCCTATATTTAATTACTGTTTAAAACAAAAATAGCACCAATGAACTGTGGATTTAGAGCATACGTAAGAATAAAATATACAACAAAAATAATATGAAAGATGAGAGACAGGTATTTGAAGCACACTTTTGTAAGATTCTTACACTCTGTGTAATTGGTATTGTCTGAAGGTATAAGGTGATTAATGTATATTGTATGTATATTGTATACCCAGGAAAACCAATAAATAATTTTAAAAGGAGACATGAATAATAACACAATAGAGGAGATAACATGAAATCATAAATACTCGCTACACGAGCAAGCAGACAGAAGAAGAACAAAGACACAGGAACAAATGAAAAAGTACTGCAGAAGTGACAGATTTTAATCCAACCGTATCAATAACTATACTACACAAAAATGATGTAAACACACCAATTAAAAATGATTTTCAGATTGGATTAAAGAAAACACAAAACGCAACCTAACGCTGCGTCGTAGTTAGTCCAAATTCACGTTTCAGTGTTTGACTCCTGGTGGCTTTTAAGCCTCAGCCTTCCCTTGTCCCCTCTTGCTGACACCTGGAAAGCTGATAAGAAAGCCTGGGTGCTTCCTCCTTTGTTGCTGGAGGAAAATTCAAAGCTTACCGTGAGAAAGCTGACCACGGCCCCAGTGCGGAATCCTCATACCACACCTGGTCGTCCTGTCCAAGACAGCGTCCCAGAGCTCCTTGAGCCTCAGCGGGGGGAAGAAACAGCATATTTTTTCCTCCTGGTCCAGAGAGAGGGGAGACGCTACAGAGCAGGGGTCGGTAAGCTGCAGCCCACAGGCCAAACCTGTCAGACCGTGGGATCCTTGGGTCAGGACCAAGGTCAAACTCGTTTTGGGGCTCCCCAAGAAGTGCTGGGCAATGCAACCTGGTGGATGGACTGAGAGCTGCCCAGCAGATGGATCTGTACCCAGGGAAGTGCACATTGGCCTTTGGTGAACAGTCCATGGTACCCTTGAACTCTATAATAATAGCAGTAATAGGCCGGGCGCGGTGACTCGCACCTGTAATCCCAGCACTTTGGGAGGCCGAGGTGGGCGGATCACCTGAGGTTAGGAGTTCGAGACCAGCCTGGCCAACACGGTGAAATCTCATGTCTACAAAAAATACAAAAATTAGCTGGACGTGGTGGCGGGTGCCTGTAATCCCAGCTAGTCGGGGGGCTGAGGCAGGAGAATCGCTTGAACCCGGGAGGCGGAGGTGGCAGTGAGCCAAGATCATGCTACTGCACTCCAGCCTGGGCAACAAGAGTGAAACGCCGTCATAAAAGAAAGAAGAAAGAAAGAAGGAAAGAAAGAAAGAGAGAGAAAGCCCAGTTTTCTTGGGCCTCATGGTAATGTTCACGTGGTTGATACCAAATGAACTGCTCATAGAGTTTCTGTGAAGACTCTCTGAGTTAATATGAAGAGTATTTTATAATTAAACACATAATAACTATGCAGTGAGTTTTAGTTATTTCTATTACTGCTATTATTCTTTCTTTCTTTCTTTCTTTCTTTCTTTCTTTCTTTCTTTCCTTCCTTCCTTCCTTCCTTCCTTCTTTCTTTATCTCTCCTTCTTTCCTTCTTTCTTTCTTTCTCTTTCTTTCTTTCTTTCCTTCTTTCCTTCTTTCTTTCTTCTTTCTTTTATGACGGTGTTTCACTCTTGTTGCCCAGGCTGGAGTGCAGTAGCATGATCTTGGCTCACTGCCACCTCCGCCTCCCGGGTTCAAGCGATTCTCCTGCCTCAGCCCCCCGACTAGCTGGGATTACAGGCACCCGCCACCACGTCCAGCTAATTTTTGTATTTTTTGTAGACATGAGATTTCACCGTGTTGGCCAGGCTGGTCTCGAACTCCTAACCTCAGGTGATCCGCCCACCTCGGCCTCCCAAAGTGCTGGGATTACAGGTGCGAGTCACCGCGCCCGGCCTATTACTGCTATTATTATAGAGTTCAAGGGTACCATGGACTGTTCACCAAAGGCCAATGTGCACTTCCCTGGGTACAGATCCATCTGCTGGGCAGCTCTCAGTCCATCCACCAGGTTGCATTGCCCAGCACTTCTTGGGGAGCCCCAAAACGAGTTTGACCTTGGTCCTGACCCAAGGATCCCACGGTCTGACAGGTTTGGCCTGTGGGCTGCAGCTTACCGACCCCTGCTCTGTAGCGTCTCCCCTCTCTCTGGACCAGGAGGAAAAAATATGCTGTTTCTTCCCCCCGCTGAGGCTCAAGGAGCTCTGGGACGCTGTCTTGGACAGGACGACCAGGTGTGGTATGAGGATTCCGCACTGGGGCCGTGGTCAGCTTTCTCACGGTAAGCTTTGAATTTTCCTCCAGCAACAAAGGAGGAAGCACCCAGGCTTTCTTATCAGCTTTCCAGGTGTCAGCAAGAGGGGACAAGGGAAGGCTGAGGCTTAAAAGCCACCAGGAGTCAAACACTGAAACGTGAATTTGGACTAACTACGACGCAGCGTTAGGTTGCGTTTTGTGTTTTCTTTAATCCAATCTGAAAATCATTTTTAATTGGTGTGTTTACATCATTTTTGTGTAGTATAGTTATTGATACGGTTGGATTAAAATCTGTCACTTCTGCAGTACTTTTTCATTTGTTCCTGTGTCTTTGTTCTTCTTCTGTCTGCTTGCTCGTGTAGCGAGTATTTATGATTTCATGTTATCTCCTCTATTGTGTTATTATTCATGTCTCCTTTTAAAATTATTTATTGGTTTTCCTGGGTATACAATATACATACAATATACATTAATCACCTTATACCTTCAGACAATACCAATTACACAGAGTGTAAGAATCTTACAAAAGTGTGCTTCAAATACCTGTCTCTCATCTTTCATATTATTTTTGTTGTATATTTTATTCTTACGTATGCTCTAAATCCACAGTTCATTGGTGCTATTTTTGTTTTAAACAGTAATTAAATATAGGAAAAATAGCCTACATTACCTTTATTTTAAAGCTATATGTAGAGCTTCACTTCTTTGATAAATATCAAAGTTTTTATCCTGTATCATATACCTTTTGCGTAGAGAATTTCCTTTTACATTTTTGGTAGCACAAGTATGTAAGTATAAATTCTCTCTATTGTTCATCTGAAAACATTTTTCCCTGTATTTTTTGAACAGTGTTTTTTCTGGATATAGAATTCTGCAAAGATTTTTTTCGTTTGAATACTTTAAAGGTGTCACTCCATTATTTTTTGGCTTGCATAGTTTCCAGTGAAAAATCTGCTCTAATCCCTTTCTTTGTATGCAATGTCTTTTTCCTCTGGCTGCCTTCAATATTTTCTCAGTGTGTGTCTAAATGTGTATGTTTTTGTTGCTGTTGTTGCTGTTGTTGTTGAATCCTGCTTGGGGTTTTCCAGGCTCTTGGACGTATGCCTTGATGTTTTTCATTACTTTTGGAAAATTCTCAGCCATTATCTCTTCAAATATTTTCTTCTGCCTGCTTTGTCTTCTCTTTCTGGGATTCCAGTTATGCATATGTTGGACCATTGGATATTATCTGACAGTTCTTTGATTCCCTGTTTTGTTTTTTTTTCACTGATTTTCTTCATTTTAAGTTGGGTAATTTATATTGGCCTGTCTTCTGCTACACTCATTCATTCGTCAGCTGTGTCAGATCTACTGATGAATCCATTAGAGGCATTTCTAATTTCTGTTACTATTTTTTTTCATTTCTAACATTTCTATTTGCTTCTTTCTCATAGTTTCTACCTCTCTGCTGAAACTAGCCATCTGTTCATGGAAGTATTCCATATAGTTATTTTAAATTCCCAGTCTGTTAGTCTAACACCTAGGTTATCTCTGAATCTGGTTCTGTTGATTGATTTGTCTGTCTGTCTCTCTCTCTCTCTCTCACTCTAAGCGATGCTATTTCACCATAATACCATGACTAGAGTGCAGGTGGTTATTCATAGGTGCAATTACAGTGCACTACAGCCTTGAACTCACAGGTTCAAGCAATCCTCCTGCATCAGCCTCCTAAGTAGCTGGGACTACAGGCATGCACCACTGTGCCCAACTGCTTTGTCTCTTGTTCATAGGTGTTGCTTCCTTTATAAGGTTTGCAATTTTGAATTCAATACTTGACATCATGGGTAAGTGAGTTGAAACTGAAGTAAGTAGTATCCGTGACAGGAAGTGGACATATCTTTTCTTCTGCTGCTAGACTGATTTTGTGTGTACATGCATGCGTGTGTGTGTGTGTGTGCGTGTGTATTTCGAGTGTGGTGATCGGGGAATAGTTTTGTTGTTGCTATGGCTATCATCAATGCACCATCTGCTTCAAATGCTTCCAGTGCTACCTTGTGCTGGTTCTGGTGTGCTTGTGTAAAGGCCGGTTTTCTGAACGATTTTCCTAATGTCTTGTTCCACTCTCAGCTTTAGGCCTGTCCTGTGCACCTGCTTTTACAAGAGGGTTGATCTGCATGCTTTGCTCTCTCTCCCAGCAGCAGATTTCTGTTACCTGGGACTGGCTAACTCCATGGTAGCAGCCAGGAGTGCCTGCTCTTGTCGTGGTCCAGCCTCAACCTTAGGCAGGACCTTCATTTCTTGCTGTTGGAGATGGAGGTTTGTCAGAGATACTGACCATCCCCAGCAGTAAAAGACCGATAATCTGGGCCCAAGATGACTCCCTGTCCCTCTCCAAGGGGTATAGAGTTTTAAAAGGTTCCTTATCTTCAACCTCAATATGTCTCTACCAGTACCTTGAGGAGGACAAGATTTCCTGGCCATTCCGCAATGATTGAAGGATTTTGTTCTTTAGGGGTGAAGGGTGTCAGCAGGGCTCATGCCTGCATTCCTGAAGGCAGACTTTCTCCAGTCTCACTGTCTACCCCAATCTTTCTCATGGGCCCTGATAAATACCCATGGAGTAGAGTCTGTGATGGGAGTCAACTCCCCATGGGTCCATGGTTCCCAGAGGTTTTATACTCTCACAGTGGCCCACCCTTGGCCTTCAGCACTGAATAAAATTCATAGAGTATTTCTGCTCATTATGGTCACGCCGTCTCCTGCCTGCAGGTGAGAAGTAAGCCAGTGTTCACATCCCACCACTCCCCCAGGTGCTTGTCTTCCCTTCGATTTCGAGGGAACCATGTGCCTTGCAACTTCAGCTCTTTGGTGCAGGAAAAGTTATGATTTTGAGGACAATCCGGCTTCCTCTTGCTGATAAGGCGGGAATGACATGCTTTAGAGCTTTCTACGTACTAACAGAATCCAGAAATCACCCATGGGATTCTGAAAGACACAGTTTAGGATGACCCTCTGGAGAAGAATGGACCACCTCCAAGGTGGTCACTGCCCACACCAGAAGTGGTCCAGGCTACAGAAGGAGTTTCGACCAGTTGGTGGAAGAGACAACCTCATGGAGGGGTATGGGAGGCTAGTGTACATACTCAGAAAGGTGTTGCAGGCCTGTGCAATGGTCAGTAAGTGCCATGCAACAGTGCCACGGGATCACCTCAGCACGTCTCCCTCTTCCCTGATCCAGACTCATTCTCAGCCTGGGCCACTTCCATTTCCATGGGCAACTCCAAATAGAGGGTAGGGATCCTGCACTCTGGCCACCCCAACTCGTATTGTTGGAAATTGTTGGGGGCCCAGAAAGGTGCATCAGGCCCAGAGCTCCCCTGAGCACCGTCCATGACCCAGCCCTCTGGACTCTGCTCATCCTGAGACCAGGCCATCCCCAGCAAAGCCACCTTCCTTCTCACGTCGCCTCTTTCATCACCGTTCTGTCTCTGAGGACAAAGTATTAATCTCCAGTACAAGACACAAGCACCAATTTGGCCTTCAAAAGATCCTTTATTCCCAAAGCTGAGGTCACAAATACAAAACTTGCTCCTTCATGGCCTCTGTCCCCTGCCCCCCACCACCAGACAATTCCCCAGCCATGGTAAGATGCCTTCTGAACCTGCAATCCCTTTCGCAAAAGACCCCAGTCTTTGCTCCTCCAGGCTCCCAAGGCCGGCTGGATCTTCATTCACAGCTCTATGTGTTCTGTCTGGGGTGGCTTCTCCACTGCCTTCTTGGCAAAGAGGTTGGTCCAGAAAGCTACTTCTTTGTCCTTCAGCTTCTGGGCCGCCTGGGTGTTGGCACCAATCTGCAGATACCCTTCCTTCTGGTTGTACTCTGGCCAGTGGGGCAGCCCTTCCCCATTGGGGTTTCTGGAAACAGAATCAATTAGAATTGCCCCAAAGCTGCTGTGTGTTCCCAACAATCTTCAGAGATGTGTGAGGATGCCCAAGTTATCTCTGTCAAGAGGCTTGTATACCTCCAGAGATGGAGAGCTCACTATCTCCAGGGGCGGCCTCTCCGTTTGCAGAGAGCTCTCATTATCAGAGTGCTATGGTCACAGGGTCAGAAGTTTGATCACTAGAACCTTAGAAGCTGCCCCTTCCCAATAGGCATGCCCCGCCCCCCACCCTCACCAGCCGTGCTCTGTCTTTGCCACCAGCCTCACCCATTGCGAGCAAAGTTGGCCCAGAATTTCATCACCATCTTGCTAAGTCTGATCTCCTCTTCTGAGGCACCCTCTGTGGGGAAGAAGAAAAAAAGCCTTTGTTACTCAAAGTGTGGTCCGTGGACTGCAGCGTCAACATCACATGCGAGTCTGCTGGAAACATAGTCTTGGCACATGCCCCACACCCACTGAGCTGAGGTCTGCACTTTTAGAAGATCGTGGTGGATTTGTGTGTACTTTACCTTTCAGCATATCTGACCTAGGGCTCAGCAATGGGCATGCGTCATTCCATTGGCTGGCTGCCTTTGTCTCCTGTGACCCTCGCCTGCCTCCTCCCCGCTCAGGGTCACAGGAAATGCCCCACCCCAGGGTTTCCTCTACAGCAACCCCACTTTCCAGGGTTGCTCTCTCTTGGGTCTTTTCTCCCTCCCCAGCACACACCCACAATTCACATTCTGAAAAACAACAGAGCCGCAAGGCGCCTAAGCATGCACAGTGAGATGCCCAGAGGCGCTGGTGCGTTCTGAGCAGCCATGGGGTGAGTCCCATCTGATCTGTAACTGCTGAGAGTTAAGACTTAGAAGACACCGTGAAAGGATTTTTTAAACTATTGTATAATGTAAACTAAAAATAAAATCCTGACACCCCCAACTGACTGAACAGACCCTCTCTGGGCTAAGGGGAGCCTCGAAAAACCTTCAACTCTGTTCCTGCCTGGGAACGGACAGGAGGTCAGACACGCCTCATAATACTCCCTCCCTTTTGTGATTTAGACACCACCGGACCAGCATCAGCAATAAAATGAAGGTCATCATTCTGACAGAACACACTCTTTGTGGCAATAAGACACCAAATTAAAAACGAGACCTAAGGCCACGTCGGGCAAGGGTTCAGGCCTGCATCTCTAAAAAGTCAGGAAACAACAGGTGCTGGAGAGGATGTGGAGAAATAGGAACACTTTTACACTGTTGGTGGGACTGTAAACTAGTTCAACCATTGTGGAAGTCAGTGTGGCGATTCCTCAGGGATCTAGAACTAGAAATACCATTTGACCCAGCCATCCCATTACTGGGTATATACCCAAATGACTATAAATCATGCTGCTATAAAGACACATGCACACGTATGTTTATTGCGGCATTATTCACAATAGCAAAGACTTGGAACCAACCCAAATGTCCAACAATGATAGACTGGATTAAGAAAATGTGGCACATATACACCGTGGAATACTATGCAGCCATAAAAAATGATGAGTTCATGTCCTTTGTAGGGACATGGATGAAATTGGAAACCATCATTCTCAGTAAACTATCGCAAGAACAAAAAACCAAACACCGCATATTCTCACTCATAGGTGGGAATTGAACAATGAGATCACATGGACACAGGAAGGGGAATATCACACTCTGGGGACTGTGGTGGGGTGGGGGGAGGGGGGAGGGATAGCACTGGGAGATATACCTAATGCTAGATGACGAGTTAGTGGGTGCAGCGCACCAGCACGGCACATGTATACATATGTAACTAACCTGCACAATGTGCACATGTACCCTAAAACTTAAAGTATAATAATAAAAAAAAAAAAGAATCCACTTTGTTCTCACTGCCACGAGGTGCTTCTCTTTCTCTAGCAGCTAAACCAGCACTGGCCTGGAGCTAAGCAAAAGGAAAACAATAACAACGGCTGCAGCTGGGATACGCAGACAAACAGAACCCTGACTTGCCAGACTTAACTACTGCTTTGATTGCATAAGAGACTGATTTCAGTAACTTTCTCCAGATAAGAACATCACCAGCCATGGACTGGACCTGGCCGGTGTACAGAAGCTCCTCACTTGCTGAGCTTCGTGTCCTGAGAAGACCTTTGGACTTACAGGCCCTAATTGTAATACATTTAAATATTAGGTCTCCACCACCAGGTGAACATGGGCCATGTTACATACATGTTTGTTTAATACACATGTGTCAGGACTGTCTTCATGAATATCCATTGCTCCCCCTGTAACCTGTTGAACATGTATGTTTAGCCAATCCGTTCACATAAAGCTCCTACCCAACCCCTCCTCCAATGAGCCCGTTTCTGGGCTTGGCCAGAGGCACCTTCCCAGCCTGTGGGATGGCCACCTTGCTGACTATAAACCATATAAAAAATATTCTCTTCTCCTGTTCCAAATTCATACATCCTGTGAATTCTAAATCAACAATTATTAAATGTACTAAATGTAAAGGTTTATGAGTTTTTGTTAGAGACAGACAGAAAGACAAACAGGCACACATTAGACCTGACTTAGGGTTAACACCAATTCTAATCTCACCCTCACTCACTGTCTCAGCGCTCCTGGGAGAGGGAAATTGATTGGTGGCTTCTCAACCTAGAGCAGGGCCCCGCATGTGTCCCACCGCCTATCTTGTTGATGACACAGCCCAGGATTCTGAGTGTCTGTGGCAGAGGGTACATGATACACATCCTCCCTCAGGTGTGTTAGAGCGGGAGGAAGCCGGGGAACAACCCAGTGACATTCAACCCTGTCATAGTGAATCCTGCAGGAGACCCCCACCACCACCTGTCTTGATGTCACACAGCAGGATTCTGAGCGTCTGTGCAGAGGGCACATGAATACACATCCCTCCTCACATGTGTTAGAGTGGGAGGAAGCCGGCGGACAACCCAGTGACATTCAACCCTGTTATACAGAATCAGGAAACTAAGACCAGGAGAGGACAAAATTGCTGAAGGCCACCACACCAAGACTGGAACCCAAGTCTCTAACTCCTAGCTCACAGACAGGAAGGAGCATTACCTTTTAAAAATGGGGCCCCAAAGACGGAGAAGAGCTCATCCCCGTGGTCTCCTATCACCGTCTTGGGTTTCATGTCTGATGAGAAGCTTGGACGGTACTGAAACTCATACATGTAGGTGGGTGCTCCAGCATCTGAGAAGACAAGGATTCATGCACAGTTCATGTTGCCAGACACACACCTGGAGGCTACCAAGGTCTCCAGCTCTGCAGCAAACCTCTGGCTGTCAGCACAGTAGAGAAACAGAGTCTCAGGAAAGCTCAGTGATGTGCTCCGGGCTGCATAGCTGTCTGAGGTGGAAGCGGAATTAGAGCCAAATATTTGTTCAATGAACAAATGTTTAATGAATGAATGTGGAAACCCTGGGTCAATTCATTTAAAACAGCTGCCGGTGCAGGGACCCTGACTCTGCCTCGTAAACCCCTTTGCCTGCTGGTGCATTCTCACACAAGACAATCTCTCTACATCTGGTTACACCGGATATAATTCATTGATAACAGACTCGCGTTCATTCACTTGGATGCCATCTCCACCATGACAGGTGTCTTCTGTTCTGCCTCGTTTTGAGCATTTCCAGTGTTTTTCTCACCCATCCTGAGAAGACTGAAGCAAATCCAAGTTGCTTGTCTGAACATGAGGCTATTTAAATACAAACATATGCAGAGAGGGAACAATCTGCCTCTTGTGTCTCAGGAACCTGCGGCACTCACTGCTTTATAGCTCACTGTCCCCATGTGTCTTGCTGCCTGCCTGGCCTGGGAGTGTTAGGGTGTTAAGGCAGTAAAGCCCTGGCAGAGAAAAGAAGGCGCTGAGCAAGGGTGACCTTGCCTCTCCCCTGCCCTCTCTCCTTCGGCTCTGCCCTCCTCTCCCACCAACAAAGCTCTCCTGTCCCAGCCCCAGGAAGATGCCAGTTTCCCAATGATTGGCTCATTGGAGCCACAGATCGCTGCCCCTTCAGGGCTACCTCGTGGGCCGCCTGGCCCTGTGCCTCAGCACTTTGCACTGGTCATGATACCCACTGAGAAGTGACACTAAGACGGAAAGAGTCAGGGCAATGCCAGGCTGGTGGAGAAAATTTACAATGTCCTCCCCTTTGGGTACAGTAAGAAATTTGGAAAATAAAAACAATTAGGAATAATTAGAAGAAACAAAAATATGGAAACGCATAAAGCAAAACTAGATATCACTCATAATTCCACTACCTGAGGCAAGGGCCATGCATTTTTTGTATTTCCTTCTAAAATTTTTCCATATCCTATATAATTTAAAAATCAATTTTAACAATCAAATTTAAAGTATCACTCATAACTCTACCACTCAGAGAATGCTTCTTTTTTATTTTAGCATATCTCTCTTTTATGTATTTAACTGGGGATGATATTATATATGGTATTTTGTAGTACACTGTAATCACTTCCCTTTTAAATTGTTTTGTAGAGACAGGGTCTCACTATGCTGCCCAGGCTGATCTTGAAATCCTAGGCTCTCATAATCCTCCCACCTCAGCCTCCCAAAATGCTGAGAGTGTTGGCAAGAGCCACCGCCTCCAGCCATCATTTCTTAACATCATTAAAAATTCGTTCACAAAAGGATTTAACAATGGGAGCTCACGCATCCCTAACCTCATGCCCCACCCGCACATGTCATTTCAATGTGAGAATGAAGAATAATCTATTCACTCATCTTTGTCAGCCTCCTGCACTGCACCCTCGGCTCAGCAGGAAGCGCACCTGGGAAGATGCCATCCTTCTGTGGCTCTGTAATCCACCTGTTAAATGGCTGCTTCAAGGTCAAACAAAACTTGCTAAAAGGAGGGTTTGACCTTGCCTTTGCCCCTCGAACATTTTCCAAAGAAACTCAGAGCCAACCATAGAAGAAAGAGCTTTTGTGAATGATAGAACTTATTATAGGCAGCATGCTGCCCAAAACGTACTTTGTAAAACTCTTTGGCTAAAGCCATTGATATTTATACAATTCTTACAATCACAACACAAGTCTTCAGAGGAAAGTAGCGCACAGATTTGGGTAATGACAATTAGACATAATAAGAGAAGCAGAGACAATGAGAGGGCTAGTCATGGAGGACATGCAGATTAAAACAGGCTGATGTGCTTCTTGTTGGTGGGGAAGGCTTATGAAACTGGAAGTGTTATGCTAATTTTTAATCTTAGCATCCCAAATGAGAAAGAGAATTAAGAAATCCACATTCTTATGCAGTGGAATGCAATTTTACAATATTTGCCCAAAGTTCTAAAACATTTGCATTGTCCAACCTAGTTATTTACTTCTAAAAATAATCCTAAGAAAATTATTAGACATGTGTTTAGAGACTTATGAACATTAGGCTGAGCTCAATGTTATTGTAGCATCAGAATGTGAGTAGCCAGGCTAAACATCTAATAGGATATGAATATTAAAGTCTATTTAACACAGCCATTTCATGGAATAAGGAATGCTTTGATGAGTTTGTATCAACATTGAGAAAATCCTCACAACATAGTGTTCTATGAACAAAAGTAAAATATAAAATTGATTTTTAAAGTATATAGGACATGGAAAATCTTTAGACGAAAACACAAAAAATTTATAGCACTTGCCTCCAGGTAGTGGAAATGAGTGATACATAGTTTCTTCTTTTTGTGTTTCCATATTTTTGAAAGTTTCTATAATTTAACATATTAATTTTATATTCAGAAATGTTATTTTATCAAAAAGAGTGAGACAACAATAAGTGAAAGTAGATAAAATCTGTGTAGTCCTGGCAAAAAAAAAAAAAAAAAAAAAAGCCCTGAACTTAAAGTCATGGGAAACCAGATGAAAAACATAAGTTCAGTATTGCTCAAACCATCAGAAAATGGAGATGGGAACTCTATATATAGTTCAGACGCAGAGCATAGGGCAAGGGCAAGTTTAAGAAAGAACAGATTCAACTCCAGTGGTCTTGGTTAAAGGTTTTTATCAGGACCCTGTGAAGAAATGAGGGTTATGAGCACCTGCCCCTTCCTGTGCAAAGGTGTGTCAGGGCACCTGCTAGTTAAGCGTTAGCTAGTTTTTATCATGCTTATGAAGTTCTAAATTTAAAAACCCTTCCAGCATGGTTAGAGAGAGGACATTTCCTAGCTTGCAGACTAGGCGAATGAGAGCTGGAAGAAAAGGAATCCTGTGAATCTCCTCTAGCTGGCACGCAGGAACAGACACTCCTCTCTAGGTGAGCACACACATCCCTAACGTCATGCCCCACCCACACAGCCTTGGGTCAGTGGTAGCAGGTCCTGCATAGACCCTGCCCTTGCCCTGTGCTTGCATGCTACTGCACGCACTGAGATGCATAAAAACCACCCTCAGACACTGCCATTCTACAGACCACCTCTCCCACACCCGCCCTGGCTCCTCTCTCTGGCCTTCTTGGTCCTGGACAATCCTCTGGATCCCATGCAGGGCTCCCACTTTTTATCCAGCTCCAATACTTAACAAACTTGTTTGCAGCTGGCTCAGACCTTAAAACCCTTCCACGACTCATCTTTCAATATTTGTCCTACAGCAGCCCTATGTCCCACAATAACTCCAGGCATGGAGCCCTTGCAGCAGATGCTGCCAGGGTCTCACCTATATCCCCTCTTCCTGGGCATGCCAGCCTGACTTCCACCTCCAGCATCTGCAGCTCCAGGCCTGAGGCCTTTGTCTGGTCACAAGAGACTACTCTGCCCTTGTGTGCAGCAGGTCGAAGTCACAGGGAATAAACAATTCCTTGCAAGAGCCTTCAACCAATGACAAGTAGAAGCTGGTGAATAAATACCCGGCTCCCTTGCCACTCAGATGGGATGCCCCTGAGCCCTGTATTCTTGGTGTTTCCTTGAGTTTCCCCGCTCCAGTTGTCCACAGTGGATACTCCCTTGACAACGCATCTTGGATTGGATTCCATCTCTTTCCTCTCTCACTTCCCCACCTCCCTACTGCTGTTATCTGGGATCATCACCTTAAAAAAACCACTTGCCTCTGGATTTTTTTTTCTCACAGTCTTCTGCTGGCATAAACCAAAATAAGACAGCACCTCATCCCATGCCATATGGAATCAGCCTTTGAGGCCTGACCCTCAGCTGTTTCCATGTCTGTCTATGCTGGGAGGTAGGTGGGTCAGATACAGAAGCTCGTGGGGTTTGTGTCCCTCCCGTTCGACCTCTGGGACTCACCTCTGTGGTTCCGGGCCACAATCACAGATGGGACACCAAACATCACATCTGCTATCAAGTCCAGGAACAGGTCTTTCTTTTTGACAGTGTCGTCTGTTCCTCCTAAGTATTTCTCAGTGGCTTCTGGAATCAGTTCCTTAGCAATGCACTGAAATAGATCAAAAAGTGACCACCAGCCCCGGGTGAGCGATGCAGCTTCTCCAGCCCACCAGAAAGTCCTGCCTCAATGGTGAACCCCATAAGCCCTGTGCAACTCCCCGCTAGGGTGGAAAATGAAGTGGGAAAGGTGGAAAGATGGGGGAAACCCTGAGGCCCCAGTCTTCATTCTGCCATTTAATTGCTCTATGATTTGGGCAAGTCCTTGTCCCTCTCTGGGTCTCAGCCAATTCCCATGATTCCTAGACTCTTACAACAAGGGGATAGGACTTCCACAGGAGTGACATGGCTGTCTTCTGGTCCAGTTGCCCTTCGGAGAGTGGATAGCTCATCAACTGCTAAAAAAAAAAAAAAAGTTCAGCATTTATGAATCATTGGGAATTAATGATAAGAAACAAACTGACCAACCAACCAAACCAATGCAGTCTGAAAGTCCTCTAATTATGGGGGCTTTTAAGGGCATGAGTCTTTACTGAAATGGGTGAAATCAATGAATCAAATGGGCTTATATCCAGAAACTCAAGCATTGCAAAGTTTACAAAAAAAAAAAACAAAAAACAAAATTTCAGAGAAGCTGTGGCAGTGTTTTGCAGTGTGTGTGTGTGCGCGCGTGTGTGTGTGTGTGTCTGTGGCTGGGATCCCTACAGTGGTCAGTGACATGGAGATGCAAGGTGTCTGCCAGGCCAGTGTGGAATAGAGGGCTCTGGGGAAGAGGATGTAGACCTCCCTAGTACCCCCACCTGTCACAGATGACACTGAAATCCTTAAATCCTGTCTTCGTGGCTTTGGTCTTTGGTATAACCTCTGAAATCCTTCTGAGGGGCGAACTGCACATCTCTACGCACATAACAACTCTTCCCAAACCTCTGCACTCAGGGACTCGACCAATCTCTAGCATTGCTTCTAGCAGCTTAAGGCTGTGTCCCTAGAATGACCCCAGTATCCTTAACATAACTGCCTGGGAAGGCTCAACCCTGCCAGGACAATTTACTCTGCTCCAGCCAAAACCTGGAGACAAGCAGCCAGGTCCCCGAACCCAACTAGAGCAGTTACTTTAGAAGCCTGCAATGATAAACACTTTCTCTGCCCTTTGGGATGTGAATCTACCACCCAACCCCATTTCCTTGAGGACCTGAGAGCCTTCTCTTTGCAATGCAAACATTCAGGGAGCTCACTCCTGATCTTCCCAGTCCCTGTCGAAAGAGTAGAGCCTGACTTCAGTGGGTTCTTCCTGCGGTCTAATGCATGGCTTCCTGTCCTAAAGATAAGAGGAGTTTGTTTCTGCCCCAGGTGAGCCAGGATGAAGACATCCAGGTGGTCTAGTCACATGAACCAAGCCTCTCCCCATAGACCACAGTGTTTCCCTTGGCACACCTGGCCTATGAAACGTCATCAGGCTTTTGTTTCAGGGATGTGAGTCCACTCCACGCTGGACTATTTCCCCTATTGCAATCATATTACTGAATAAATCTGTCCTACTGCTTTAACCAGGGTCAGTTTTGTTTATCTTCAACTGGAAGGAGAACACTTCTTTACTTTTAGAACTCAATTACTTTTTCCATTTATTTGTTTCCAACTTTTATTTTAGGTTTGGGGGTAACTGTGCAGGTTTGATCATGGGTAATTTGGGTCTCTGGAGTTTGCTGTATAGATTATTTTGTTACCAGGTATTGAGCATAGCACCCGATTAGGTAGCTTTTCCATCCTCATCTTCCTCTGACCATCCACTCTCTTAGTAGACGCTGATGTCTGCTGTTCCCTAGAAGTCAATGGTAACTCAAGAAGAAGCCACTTTCTTTGGATATTTTCAATGAGGTGATGAAGAGCATGAGTGATTTTCAGGGGAATTACGCACACCCAGCCCGAGGTGGGAAGCCAGGAAGCCCCCGACTGCTTCTCCGGACTCCTCCACTCCTTCCCCCTTCTAGGCCCCCTCCGTTTTCCCATCTGCAGAGTTATTTTCTCTACTGGCCCTCCCAGCACAGACACTTCAGGATTCTTCAATAGGAAGACAATAAGAGAGTCTGGGGAGAGGGAATCCCAGGGCCCTGATACCCCGGTGAAAACTGTGCCCTCCTGGAGAAGATTTCCGTGGAAATGTTAACTCCTGCTGAAGGGAACAGCTGCCCAGGACTCAGAGTGCAGCTCGGAGAGGGAAGCATTCCTGGGACCAGAGACAGGAGGGCTGATGGGGGTGGTTGAGTCCCTCCAACAGACATGTGCCTTCTCACCATTGGAATCAACCAGCCAAACTCCTGCTTGTTAATTCCGACCATGTAGGGGACAGTGTGGAAATTCCTTTCAGCTTGAAGCTCTTCAGGTGTTTTCAGCAGCAGCATCCCATCAATCACAGTGCCCAGAAGGGGTTGACTCTGGGGAGAGAGCAGTGCAGCACCTGTGATTCCCTCCCTAGTCACACCCATGTCCCCAACTCTGCCTGTCTGAGGGTGAGACCAGTACCATAGACCGGCATGGCCATGCGCCATGGCTGCACATGCTCAGGATCCTAACTTAGGGGGGTAGGTCTCCATGACTCAGGGGCAGAACTTCAGGCAGAGGCTGACACTGCTCAGGTGATGAGGAGAGGAAGAAATCTTCACTCATATTGAAATACATGTATTATCTATGTAAAATTACATGTCTATATATTTCAATTTGAAGTGCATGCATTTTCCTCTGTGTGTCCACAATTGATTTTCGGTAGTCCTGGCAGTTGCTTCTGATAAAGCCCCCGTGAGTACTGAATTAGAGAATACAGGGTCATCACTCAAGGGGGAAATACTGGGTTAGGTTTTTGCAAACCTCTGGCCACAACATTTTCATCAACCTTCTTTTATGTGTGGGTTTCTGTTGAAAGAGACTTCCACGGCTCCATCCCACACAATAGGTGTTACTTTAGCCCTTTCTATCACAGCCTCATGTATGAATCGGCCAATTTCCTTCTCCTTTTTCTGAATGTGCTATTATGTGGATTTTTCAACACCAAATGCACGGCCAGCAGCACTGCAGCTCCTGCCTCATCCAAGCTTGTCTCACACAGGCACCTTCCCCGTAAGGCACAGCACAGCCTGTTTAGCTCAGGAACGCCAGACAGCAGCGCTACTCTTGGGTTCGCTCTAAACAGTGACATCACTACAAAAAGCACAAAAATGCAGAACACACGGCACTAAATAGACCGCGAAGAGGACACTTGTAAACATCAGAGATGAAACAAGAAGAGAGAGGTTGCCTCGCCGGATCTCAGATGGAAC
This sequence comes from Homo sapiens, assembly GCF_000001405.40. Classification (NCBI taxonomy): domain Eukaryota; kingdom Metazoa; phylum Chordata; class Mammalia; order Primates; family Hominidae; genus Homo; species Homo sapiens. The sequence goes on from NW_003315945.1 coordinate 37,801, forward strand.
ATGCCCATCATGCAAATCCAGCTTCCCCTGCTCTGTACCTGCCTGTGTGTGACCATGAAAGTGCCACCAGTATTGATTTGGGGGTTATAAGGACATTTTAGCAAGCAGGTGAATTTATAAACACAGAATCCATGATTAATGAGGAAGAGATTATGCTATCTATCTGTATTTAAACAAGAGCTGTTATTGATCCACGGGTGGCTTTGAGGAGGTACCGAACCCTGGTCACTCAAGGAGCCTAGACTAGGACATGATTCCCTACTAGAGAGAAAATCATGAGTAAAAGAATCAGTGATTAACTCACAGTATATTGATCCATGTCTTAATTTTAGGTTTCACCTTTGATGAATAATTTTTATATGGTCACAGATTAGAGAGAGCCCAACTCATGTGTTGCCATCAGGGCAGCTGGTTCTGGGTACAGTTATATTTCATATTTAGTCACAATGGTGTAGTTGCTACGATAGAGCGTGGATGTTGCTAAGATAGAGCATGGACTTTGAAACCAGATTAACTGCATCTGAAGCCTGGCTCTGCTACTTACTGGCTGGGAGTTTCACCTGTTTGGGCCTCAGTTTTCTCATCTAAGAGGTGAGTTATTGTGAGGATTAAATGGCTGAACACATGTAAAATACTTAGCACAGCACCTGGTGTCTGGAAAGGCTGAATAACTGTTAGGTATTACTTGTTAGCAAGGTTGCTGTGGGTCCCTCTCATAGACACCAGTCCTCTGTGGAATCTTCCCAGTTCCACGCCCCATGGGCTGTATTTCCCTTCTGGATATCAGATGGAACTGGACAATTCCTAGCCTTTGAGACCCTATGGCTTCTGGGACCTTTGGTCTGCTCTACAAAAGCCAATGAATGACGAGCTAGTTCGGACTGCCTGGGGGAGATGTTCTGAAAAGTGGACCAGACCTAGCTGGACAAGATCAGATCCTAATCCAATATGGCTGACAATGAAGAACAGGATTGGGGTGCAAGTCCAGCCTCCTTAAGAGGCTGTGCAGTTCAGGCAGGGCTGCTGTGGGAGGCCAGCAAGAGGAGCAGCCCCTCTGGAAGGAAGATGCAGGGCAGACTACGTGGAAGAGACGCCGCCTGCCTGCGGTGGGCTCTGGGCAGTGAATGGTATTGCCAGGTGAGGAAAGGAGTGAGAATTTCTAAACAGTGGGAACCGCATGAGCAAAAGGACATAGGTGTCACTGTGCAGGGTAAATTCCAGAAACAACCAAGAGTTCTTGGCTTGGAGAAATGCTGTGGGGCAGGGTCTAGAGGGAGGGACAGGTGCAGAGCCTACCTTCTGCACAGTCTGGCACACAGTGTGCACGCAGGTGTGTTTTGAAGGACTAACTCCATGGAGGGAAGGGGATTTGTCTCATAAGGAAGGTCAGGCTTTTAAGAAGTGGGGGTGACGTGCTCTAATTCTGTTAAGGAAGGCCAGTCTGGCTGCACCATGAGACATGGAAATGGGGAGAGAAGGTGAAGTAGAAGAGGCTAAAAGTTGAGGCAAGAGACGGGAGCACCTCAGTTGGGTGACAGCCATGCTGGAAGACTGCCATCAGCAACAATGACAAGTGATTGTTCTCCACTTAGAGTTTGCAAGTGGCTGCCCTGTGTGGGCACAACCTTGTTGTGTCAGAAAACTCAGGGCGTCCTCCACTCCTCCCCGTTTCTTACCCCTTGCATCCTGTCCATCAGCAAATCCTGTCAGCTATTCCTTCAAAGATATCCAGACTCCAACTACTCCTCCCATCCCCACTGCCACAGCCCTGTCTAAGCAGCCAGGAGCCCTTGCCTGGATTATGGCAATGCAGTGGCTGCCCAGCTGGTCAACTGCATCCACTTTGCCCCTTTCCTACAGTCTATTTGAACACCAGAGACAGAGACCTTTGTGAGATCTAAGATCATGTGACTCCTCTGTTCAAAACCTCCAAAGGCTTCCCATCTTGCTCTGAATCCAAATCCAAGTACTTTAATTGATCTCTCTCCCACTGCCCATTACCTCTTTAGCCTCAAGCCAGTCTGTCCCCACACTCGGTCCTCTCCAGCCAGACTGGCCCCTTCTGTCAGGGTCTTTGCAGTGACTGTTCCCTCTGCCTGGAATAGGCTTCTCCAGGTTTCCTGACAGCTGGCTTCCTGCCTCCTCCAGAGCTTGGCTCAAATGCCACCTTCTCATTGAACCATTCCCTGATCCTGCTACTTAAATTGAAGCCACCCACAAACTCTATCCCCTAATGCTGCACACCATCAAACGGAATACATACTTGATTTGCTTTTTTATTGCACTGTCCTGGCACTGTAATGGAAGGTCCCAAGAGGGTAGGGAGTCTTTCTTTTTTCACTGTTATATCCCCAGCTCCTAAACAAGTCCTGGCACATAGGAAGTGTTTATTAAGTCTTTGCTGAATGAATCTCATGTACTCCGCCCATGACCATTTAGGAGAGTGCTGTGATCTCCAGGGAGGCAGCAGAGAGGACAGGATTGTAAGATTCGTCAGAGGTGATGTCACCAGAAACTGTCAACCCACTGGGAGGTGGGGGTGGGAGTGGGGATGAGGAGATTGGGAGAATACTGTTGGAGTTTCCTGTGTGCTGGGAGGAGACGAGTGTCCTTGGACTGAGATTTAGGCTTCCCCTCTCCTTGGCTAATCATCGCTGTTATCTCTGCCTCCTGATTGTGGAAGGTTCTGTTTCAGCCTCCTCCTACAGTGCCATTTTGGGGAGCAGAAAATGTAAAAAAGAAGGGGAGTGGGCAGAGCCCAGGGCACACAGAGGTGATGCCTGGGAGCACTGGACTGGGAGTCAGGAAAATGGGTTCCAGGCCAGCCACTAGTCTTCCTGGCTGTGTTACCCAGGTGAGTCACTACCCCTCTCTGGGCCTCAGAAACAAACACGCAGGAGTTACTATAATTACCCAAGAGATGATTCTTTCACTCACAGTTAATTGGAGCTTAAAGGTGCTAAGACTCAAAACCCGTAATCCAGAAACAAAAGGTCCTTACCTCTCTGGGGTCTCCCTGTAAGTCCAGAGATAAGAATTTCTGTGAAGACAAAGGCAGAGGATGTGGGTGAGAGGCTTACCAGGAGAACACTGAGCTGGGTGAGTGGGGCAACAGAGGTGTCAGGTTCTTCCCGCATCACTCCGTGAATTCGTATATCTATATGTGACCTGCGGTGCTCCATCTCCCTGAACATGAATATTAGTTCAGGGATGGGCATACACTCATGTCAATCCAATAGAGTTTACCCCAAAACTTTTGCAGGAATTGTTTAGAAAGAGGGTTTTTAAGCAGATAGGACATAAGTCTAGAGTGCTGTTGTCTTTAACCTTCCCAGGAGATATATCTGCCTAAGAGTGAAGCCAACACAGAGATGTGCAAAGCTGAAGGACAGAGAATGGTAGATTCTCAATAATATCCTATGATCATCTGGACCCAGCCATGCCTGAAGCCATCAACTCCTGAGATTTTCAGTTTACACGACGATGCTATTGCAACACATTTCTTTTTCTGTTCAAGGTACTTGGGAGAGTTTCCTCATCTCCCATTAGAAAGCCCTGACTCACGCAAGCTCACTGAGTCTCATCCTACCCCATGCTTCTCTTTGGTGTGTGTTCACCAAGATTGCAGTGACTGTAGTGTTGCACTGTAGTTCCCAGATCTGACCTGTGCTCAGGATGTAACCAGTGCAGGTCCCTCCATTAAGGATTGAAGTCCCACTAGCCAGGAGTGTGTGTGTGTGTGTGTATGAGTGTGTCTGTGTGTGGCTCTTTGTGTGTGGGTGTCTGTGTGTGTCTCTGTGTGTGTGTGTCTGTATGTGTTTCTCTGTGTGTGTGTCTGTGTGTGTGTGTGTTTGTCTGTGTGTCTGCATGTGTGTGTACTGGAGGCAGCGCGTAATCATGGAGGTGCTTCCACAAGATCTCAGAAAAACTCAAAAGAATGTTCTAGGATCTTAGGGATGGGTTTTCCCAAAGACTCAACTCTTCCCTTTTAAGCTGGGTCCTCTGATGCCACATGCAGAATTGCTGGAATATTTGCCTCCTTCCGGGCGTTAGAAAACAGTTGTGTTTTCATTCCTTGAACACTTTGGTCACTTAGAGCCTGAGCCAAGACCTAAGCACCAATACCACATTGGACTCAACTCATGGAAACACAAGCAGAGTCCAGTGGTAGAGGCCAGCCCTGGGATCCAGGAGTAGCCTCAGGTCCAAGGAGAGAGTCCAGGCTACTCCTGAGCTTGGAATTCACACTCTTCCCCCTCAAAGGGAATAGTTCCCAATGGCCCTGGGTGCTGTGTCATCTGGGTGTTTGTCCTCCTGGTCTTCCCTGTGATGAGAGACTGCCATGGCCATCCAACAATCCTAAAGGTCCCCAAGTCCTAATATGTGAGGATGGCAGGGAGCAGGGAAGGCAGAAGATACTCTAGACCCGCAGGTGTCGGTTCTGGGTCCTACAGTGTTGCCTCTGTGACTAATTTGAACTGTGACATGGGGCAATTACAAAATTTATCTGTCTTTGTTACCTCTGTTAAAATGGGCACAATGATCTGAAAGCTGAATTTCTCAGGAAAGATAAGGTGGAGTCAGGATTAAGGGCATGAACTCCTGAATTCCACTGTCTGGTCTCAAATCTGGCTCCTCCGCCTTCTCTGTGAAGCATCCCTGATTACTACAATGAATGCTTCCCCTCTGTGCTGCCACCATACTCAACCTGCGAAGTATATGAATGTATTTCTCTTTGGATAGTTCCTTGAGAGCAGGGACTATGTCCACTTCATGTCTGTTTTGCTACCTCTAACACCCACCCCTACATATTTAGCATGGATGGATGGATGGATCAATGGAGGGATGGATGGAGTTGGTCAATACATGGAGTACAGTTGAATTGAATGGATACATGAATAGATGGGTGAAAACTAGCAGACAGGCGATAATTGGATTGTTGATTTTGGAGGAATGGGTGATGGAGTTGAGATATAAGGTGGCTGGATGATCCATGAATGGTGAATGGATTGAAAATAGATAAATACAAAGTTATGAATAGGTTGACATTAGATTGATAAAAAGATATGAGTGAATTGGATGAATTAGTGAACAGATAGATGGATAAGACAATCATAGATAGACGGATTAACGAATGGGTGGATGGATGACTATCCTAGGATGACAACTGAGTCAGTCTCAGAAAATCTAGAAAACTGGACCACCACTAGGTCTAATACAGACAGTTTCTAAGTCAACCAAGATAAATTGTGACATCTTTCTGAAAATCTTTGAGCTTAATATCTCCATCCCCCAAATTCAGGATGATGGTGTCCCCTGGGAATATGTAACATTTAATTTCTTAAAAATACATCTGAAAACAAGAATGGCAAAATATTAAATTTTGGTCAGGACTGGGGATTGTTACACAATTTTTTATCATGTTATTTTTTGACTTTCTTTTTTTACATTTGTGGCATTTTACAATAAAAAAGGACAAATCAGATTCCCCATTCAGATACTGAGAGTTGAGAAATTGTCCCAGGAAACTGTCCCTGGGCAAGAGGACAGCTGAAATGAAGAAGTCTGGGACCAAGTTTACAGGGTTTGGGCTACGGGAACAGGCAACCTACCATTTTCAATGTCGTCTCCAAGAGCTCCTCTTCCGTCTTCTGTCGCAGGCAGTGAACCATGACAGCAGAGGTGGTGGTTTTGCACCCAGCAGTGATAGCAATTTGCTGCAAAGATCACAGGCAACAACAGAGTTCAAGAGCGACATCCCTTCCCTCCATCAAAGAGGAAAGTGGCATTCTATCCCAAGCCCAACTTGTACTAGTGGCAGGGAGCAGCAGAAGATACTGTAGACCCGTGGGTGTGGGTTCCAGGTCCCACGGAGCGTTGCCTCTGTTACTAATCTCAATTGTAACATGGGTCAATTATGTAATCTCTCATCTCTGCTACCTTATCTCCATTGAAATGGACATAATCATCTCAAGGTGAATGTGTCAAGAAATGTGAGGTGGAGCTGGGATAGAGAGCATGGAATCCTGAATTTCCTTGTCTGCTTTCAAATCCTGGTTGTTCCACTTACCAGCCATTAGGCAGACCCAGAGAGACACAAGACACCATCACTGCCCAACATGGCACCAGGCCCTGGCACATAGGAGGAGTGTGGTCACAGATAGGGCACTGTACTGGCTGCTAGGGCCATGAGCTGGAGTCCCAGCTCTGCCCTGATCACCTGCTGCCCTTGGCAAATCCCTTCCAAGCCCTGTGTCGGTTTGCCTGGCTGTGAAACTGGGACGCTGATCAAGGTGTCTCCTCGCCCTTCCTGCTCAGCCATTGGTGCCTCAGTGATTCTAGGAGAACATTAGCTACAACCGACCACAAGAGAGATCCCTGAGGATTCAGGAGCATAGAGCCAAGGAGGTGGGGGTGTCCAGCCGGAGACGTACCAGCCGGAGACCTACCTCAGCCAAGGGCTTGACATCACCTTTCTTCACCAGAACAGAAGTGAGGGCCACGCCACTCTCAGAAATGGCCCGGTGGAAGAGGTTCTTGGCCAATGGAGACAAAACCTGACAGCAGAGTGGAGGGGAGGAGAGTTCATGCTCAGGAGTGGGGTCAGTGACTCACTCGCTATTCCAGGCTAGATCTACTCCACTATAAAACCAACACGGGACTGAGGAATCCAGTAGTGGGCTGACCCTCTGCCCACCTCAAGGAGGTGGAAGTCTTCCTACAGCTCCCAGCACCTCTCATCTGGGTTTTCATCCCAGATCCCCCAGTGTCTCCTGAACCCAATCCCCAATCCCAGCAGGACCCCTCACACCCAAGGTTGTGTCTATGACCCACAACCCCTGCCCCATCCCTCCCTATCCGCGGCTCCATCCCTCCTTCCTCTGCCTGCCTCCCCTAGCCCACTGGACCCCACAGTCACAAAGACTGTCGCCTCCTTCTTGGGCATGGACAAGCCATCAGACCACCCCAGAGGAATTCCCAGCCTGCTCAGTGTCCATGTCCCCTCCACATGTAGGTCTGGTTTAGCCAAACAATGACCTCTGTCCACCTCTTCTCTCTGCCTGCCCTTACTCATAATTTATGCCTATTCCTACTTCCCAAGAGAAGGGATGTGAGTCCTTATGTTAAAATGAGTGTGAAGGAGAGAGAGAAAGAGAGAGAGAGAGAGAGAGCTCAACCAAGCTGGAAGAGGAGAATGCCACCATTGCAGGCTGCAACTGGAGATTCATATGGCCCCAGGACACTAAGCTGAGCTCTGAGCTTCCTGGGGGCCAAGGAGAGCTGGTCTTTAGCTTTCTACCCCCTGATGCTGGGCTGTGAGTAGGGCCAGTCCTGAATTCAGGTATTGTAATCAGAGGTATCCATAGCTGGATTGACAGGTGTCCAAGAGGTCTCATCAGCATCACATCAAGCGTGGGGTTGGGCCTGGTGACAGGAAAACTCACAAGAACAGAGACACTTTCTCCTCCCGCTGACTCTCCAAAGATGGTCACAGAGCCTGGGTTCCCTCCAAAGCTGGCAATGTTGTCCTGGACCCAGCGCAGGGCAGCCACCTGGTCCAGGTGACCCCAGTTCCCCCGGCTGTGTTCATCCCCTGTGCTGTGAGGAAGAGAACAGGTTGAGGGTGGGGAGCAGAGATGTCATGCAGGACCTTCAGGACCACAGATGGGGCTAGGGGTTCTCAGTGAACCCTTAAGAATAAGGCTGGGCTTCAGCATCTCTGAGACCCTGCTTTCATTAGTACAGCATTGTGGTGATGTATGGTTCTACATTCACACAACTGGCAACTATTTACTGAGCATCTACTGTATGCCTGACGCTGTCTTATGAGCTAGAGCACATCTGAGAGCAAAACAGGCAAAACCTGTGATGACACTGAATTCCCACTACAGATCACAAGCAGATAAACAGATACATAGAGAGAATATAATGATGTCAGGTAGTCAAAGTGCACTGAGGTAAATACAATGGAGTAAGGAAAAAAACAGGAGTGGGACAGGGGGTGCCATTTCAGATCCCAATCAGGGAAGGCTTTTTGGAGGCAGTGACATTTGAGGTTTTGGAGGCAAAGACCTTCATAAAACAAGCACAATGAGCACATGAACCTTGTAAATATCCAAAGAAAGGAATTCCAGGCAGAAGAAAAAGCAAGTGCAAAGGGCCTGGGGCCCAGTGAAAGAAAGTGTGAGTCAGGAGGTGCAGCTAGAGAGGGCCCTGGGGCCTGGCAAGAACTTCGGCTGTCATGGTAAGGAGCATGGGAAGCCCCTGCAGGGTTTTGTGCAGAGGCATCGCATGATTCAATGCATGTGTTAAGTGATCACTCTGGCTACTGTGCAACTCAGCTTTATATAAAAGTGGCAGGGATCTGAAAGTGTTAAAGATCATAATCAAGGTGACAGACAGAGAGCTTTGGCTGGGCTAGGAGCCAGGGAAGAGGTGCAAAGTAGGGGACTCTGAGTGGATTCTGAAGGCGCAGCCAAGAGGGTTGTGAGAAAAGAGACAGTCCGGGCTGTCCACAAGGCCTTCTCCTGAGCCCAAGGGAGGATGTGGCAGCAGAAGCTGAGTGGAGGCGTGGTGGGAGGAGAAGGGGGTCTCTGTTGGGGAGGGGCAGTGGGAGTCAAGGATTCAACTTGTCCCTGGGAAGAGTGGGGCACCCTTTAGACAGCCAGGGGTGGGGAGGAGGGAGTGAGTGATGCCTGTGGGCTTCAAAGGTGAGGTGGGCTGGAAACAGGGGCTCTGGCTGCTCCCTGGGATCACTGGGAATTAGTAAGGAGGGAGAGGGAGACAAGAGAGGCCTGTGGACAGGGAGGAGGGAGGACCAGGAAAGGGGCTGGGAAGGAAGCATGTCACAGAGGCTGAGTGGCCATCTGCTGCTGCTGGGAGGTCCTGAGAGGTTGGGTGGAGAGCAGGGGGAGGTCATTGATGACCGCAATGAGACCAACTGAGTGGCGTGTTCAGGAAGAAACCTGACTGGCATGGATGGAGGAGAACCTTAGAAAAGGTTCATAGCAGTTGCGCCTTGAAGGAGATCTGACTCCTGTCCCCATGGAGACCTGATGGGAAGACTCCATCCTTGCTTCCCACACTTGCCAAATTTCAAGCAGAAAATGAGCTGAGTGGGTCCCAACACTCCCACAGGAAGGGGTCAGATGCTCCCACACCCCACCATCTGCAGCCCCCATTCCTTCACCCACAACATGCCCTGAGCTCCCTCTGTGACTCTGCCCCTTCCCTCCTTTCCATGAGAAGTCAGATGTGTCAACCTTCACCTGCTGGGCTGACTGCTAAGTGTCATGACAGAGAAAAGCAATGTGCTGGAGAAACATAGGTGAAGAGGAGATGAGTCTTTCAGTGGAGGTAACTGGGGGCTGGGTCTTGCAGGATGAAGAGGTGTTCTTCGGATAGAATAAGCATTCCAGGCAGAGGGAACAGCACATGCAAAAGCTCAGAGGCAAGTGGATGAGTGGCTGGGTAGTGAGAGGGTAGGTAGTGTCCAATTACGAAGGGGCTTGGATGCCTTACTGTGGAACCTAGCTAAGCTCCCCTGAGGGCTGGCATGACCAGAGCTGGGTCCTAGCATCCTCGTTCTGGGGGCCAAAGTGCAGTGAGGAGAGTCCGATTTCTTACCTGAAGAATCCCCAGATGCCCAGGCGATATTGAATGGTCACCACCACCACGTTTTCATGGGCAGCAAGGGCCAGCCCATCATAGGTTGATGCCGCACCCACCATCAGCCCCCCTCCGTGGATCCACACCATCACCTGGGCAGAGAGGAAGCAACATACCAGTTACAGGACACAGAGCCAGGGAGCACTCAGAAGATGTCTTGTTTGGTGACCTACCTGTTGGTTACAACTGAAGGAGGATGCTATCCAAAGTTCACCAGCTCCCAGCAACTTTGCAAAAGGCAATCTCTCTCCTGCATAATTCTCCCAACTGGGACCCAAGCCACCACCCTACTGCACATACCCTGGCTGTCCCTTCCTTTCTACCCAGCCTCCAGTGCCTCCTCCCCGAAAGGCTCTTGATGCTGAGAACATCATCATGGGCATAGCAAAGGCTAAGGATGTCCTCTTCGGGAGGACACTCCCATCACCCTCAAGCCTAGACTATTCATGCACTCAGCGTACCCATGGGGCAGCCCTTGTATCTCAGCTTCATCTCAGTTAACTATCTCTTGGTGAAGTAAACTTCTCTGTGCATGAATGATTGTCTCGAGAAGCACACGTGCCTGTGATGGTGTCTCTTCCTCAAATGCCTCCTTATGCCTCTGCATCCCCAAATCCTATCCACCCTGCAGAACCCAGCCTAAAACCCACCCACTTCAGGATGCCTTCAGTCAATGGACTAACACTGTCGAGAACTTAGCATGTGCCAGGGACTCTGCTAATACTGGAGGATGAGAGTGGATACAATTCCTCATGCATGATTCTTGCATTTTAAAAGTCCACATAGTGGGGAAGAAGTGAGAGTGGCTAAAATAATGATATTGTAATAATATTATTCATGAAATATAAAAGAACTCGTAACATAAACTATGTCCCAAGTGCTGTTCTAAGCACAGTAAAATAAACTATACATTGGGTAGGTACTAATAATGTCCCATTATCCAGGTGGGAAAATGGAGGCACTTAACCTGCCCAAGGTCCTACAACTCAAAAGTGGTAGCAGCAGGACTTTAACCCAGGCAGTCTGCCTCCAGAGTCCACATGTTGAGCTGCCCAGCACACTGCAGGCGCCGGCCACAGTGCAGTGAGTCCACTGTTAGGGCAGGGGTATGAGCCTGCCTCTGCCTTTTTAGCCAGGGACTGAGATCACGCTTAGTGGTCACCCTTGACTGATCATATGTGATGATTCCCATTTTGAGGAAACAGAGGCTTAGAGAAGTTAAGAAACTCCCAAGTCTCTCAGCTAGTCAAAAGCAGAACCAGGATTTAAACCCAGACCGTGTAGTTCTAGAGCCTGTGGCCATTCCTGGAGGTTCTCCTGACTCCAGGTTCCCAGAGCCCTTGTTTCTCCCACAACTCTAATCCCTGCCTGCCTCCTGGGGAGGGATTGAGTGTGCATTCATCTTTGTGTGAAGACTGAGCCTGAGGGCTGGCCTGCAATAAAGTGCTGAAGGGAGGATATGTCTCTACAGCCCAGAAGGCAAGATCCTTGAAGGCAGGGGCTGTGTGGAGTGGATTCATGTTCCTCCTTTCCCTGAAGCCCCAGGTCTAACTGTGTATATGGGGCACTGAGTACACAATAGAAGAATGAATGAATGAATGAATGAATGAATGAATGAATGAGTAAACCTTTCTCTCACTTCCTGTGTCTCACAAAGCACATGTAGGACCAACTTCTAGTTCCACGTTCGCAGACCTGCTCCCCCACTCCTAGGCACCATGCCACGGTGCCCCTGGGAGACTGGCTAGACACAACACCCCTTGTTTTTTCACCCTGGGTGCCTCCTTTGCCAGCAGACCCTCCCCACCCTCCAACCTGCAGCTGGCGGGCTGCCCCATGTCCTGCCCTTCATTTATTTGGGAAATTCTGACTCACTGGGTCATCAGCCTTTGCCAAGACAATTAGGGAGGGAAATTAGGTACAAAAAGAAATCCCAGCTATTTGGCCAAAGGCAAAAGGAAGAGCTTCTGGGATTGTCCAGGCTCCGCCCCCAACATCCGTACCTGGACAGTGAAAGTTACCCCAGATGAATGTTGCTGTGCTGGAGAAAGGCCACATACAAGCTCAATGCCCTACTCCATGTCAAAAGCACTGATGTGAAGATCAGAAGACTTGAGCCAAAACTACCCTACTGGGTGACCTCCCCTTCCCTGTCTGGGCCTCAGTTTCTCTATTTGAAAAGGAAGAGTTGGGGTGTTGGCTTTTCTCTAAGTTCTTTCCACCACTAACATTGAAAATCATGTCTTACCCAATCTTGGTATCAGATTTTTAATCTAGTAACTAAAAGTAATCATTCTCATCCTTCTATTAGCATGAGGGAACTTGGAACAATTAAGATGTTCATTAAAGATGCAAAACAAACTCCCCCAGAGTGCCTATGTCACGAGGGTAAACTGATGTGTGGAAAACCAGTGTTTCCTGTGGAGGCCCTGGGGTCTCTGAAACAATCCTGGCCTGTGCAGCTCCCTCCCCAAGCTGCCTTCACTCCCTTCCATTCTGCCCCAGAAGATGCGGGGTACTGGCACTGACACGCCTTGACCAGGGGGTCCCACAACTTACCGGCAGCCTGTTTTTCTTGGTCAAGTCAGCAGGAGTGTAAATATTGAGGTAAAGACAGTCTTCAGAAAGCTTGAGAGGAATGTTCTCCTTTCGGTTTGTAAATAGCTCTGAGAGTAACTGCCCCGCCTTGGGATCTTGGGTGCACCTGGGGAGGGGGAAAGAAGAACCCCTGAAGTTCAGCCAGATCTAAGCGAGGTGTTTTCTACGGCAGCGCCTTGGACTGGGAGGTTTAAGCCTGGAAATGGACTTGATAGTTACAGACTCACGACATTGTAGTGGGTAGGAGGCTATCAGGGGCTTCAGGTGGGGGCGCTGGGACTCACTAAGGTCTCCTAAGACCAAGCAGAGTGAGAAGGGCTTCACACCTCTTCCCTTTCCAGAGCCTTTGGAACTCCCAGCATCAAGGAGGGGAGACCACTAATACACTGATCCTCCCTGGGAGGTGACATTTCTCACAATAGCTCAGGGGTGATATCTTTGTGGGACAACATCAGGAGAATTGTGCTCTAGTTTTGTCTCTCCCATGCATTTATGGGGTGACCTTGGGTGAATTCCTTTTACACTCTGCGTCCCAATCCGCCAGGTCTAAGTGAGCGGAGTGATTTCTACATGAGTCTTGCAGCCCTGACATGCCAAGATTCTACCACCTGCCTCTCCCAGGCAGTTGCTGTTGTGTTGCCCTGATGAAAGATCTCAAGGATGCAACATAGATGAACACTGGTAATAGTTATTTAGTTCTCCCAGTGTTCCAGGCACTGTTTTAAGTACCTTTTGTATATTAACTCATTTAAGCCTCAGACTAGTCCCATTAGGTAGGTTCTATTATCTCCATTTTACAGATGAGAAAACTGAAGCCTAGGCAGGTTAGAGAACCTGACCAAGGTTACATAGCCAGGTAGATCCATGCCATGTGGTGCTTATACACAAGTATATTATAAGCAACAGTCCCAGACCTCAATGTACCAAAAGGCAGTCATCACCGCCCCCACTAGGTACATGAGGAAACTGAGGCACTCAGACTCTGGGATGACACAGCTCTCAAGTGACAGAATCAGAGCCAGCAAAGATGACTTCTTGATTCCATCCTGGGAAATTTTCCTAAGATCACCAAGTGCAAGAGGAATAACAATAATAATAATAATAATAATAATAATAATAATACATTCCAATGTGAAGAAAGGAAAAAAGAACTCACTGGTCTTCAGATAAATGCAAATTAAAGAGGAAAATAATATTGCTGGTATTGTTATTATTATTTTGCCTATACAATAGCCAAAAATATTTTTAATAATCCCAAGCATTGCCAAGAGTCTGCCAAATGGAGATGTTCATACGTCAATGGGAGGAGTGTAGTTGGAATATTTTGGGAGGGAAATCAAACAAGAAATATATACTCTTTGACTCAGAAATGTCATTTCTGAGAAGTTATCCTAAACTATTCATGAATGTGCATAAATGTTTCACATTCATGATGTTATATTATTAAAAACATCATATATAACTTAATGACCCCAAATAAAAGCTTGGGGAAATTAATTATGGTTCAATACCCAATGTAATGCAGCTTTTAATACCAGGCTGTGCTATTTAATGGCATGGAATTATGCTCATGATATACTTATAAATGAGCAAAGCAGGCATCCAAATTATCTCAATATAGCATTCCCTTTTAAAGAAAGAAAGTATATCAACAGGCAAAAAAACTGGAATACAAACAATATATTACATCATAATACTTTACCATCTAAAATACTGATAGTTGTTCTCTCTGGGTGGTGGAATATTGTATGTGATCTTAATTTTCTTACTTTCCTTTCTCTGTATTTCCTAAATTTTCTGTAATAAGTATATATTACATTTGCACTCAGAAAATAAAAACAGTAAACATTATTTTTTAAAAAAGGGAAGAAAAGAAGGCGGCCACTGGTGGGCTGCTGGAAAGCCTCCGAACACCTGGCTGCTGAGATGAGCAGGGTCTGCTCTGATGTCTGTAGGGTCCTTCCTACCCTGGGGAGTGATGGTGAGGCCAATTAGAACCTTTGGGCTTTTCTTCCCAGCTTGGCCAGGGTGAATGGACACACCTTCCATTGTTCTCCTCAGGAATAGGCACACCTGAGAGTTGAGCACTTGCCGAGTGGACACCTCAGTACACTTGCCACCCACACACCTCCTGGCCCACTCCTCTCCCCGACTATGTCAAAATTCAAGACAGCAGAATTCATGGGATCCTTCCTTCTGATCTCCCTCACCTGCTTAACTGCTTCTTTGTTTCCAAGGCACTTTTCCTGTTCTATCATATCACATAATCCACGGAGTAATTTGCATATTGTTCTTATCTGTCTCCCCCTGCTAGAATGCACGCTCCAGGAACCTAGGGATCTTTGCTTTTTCACTAATGGATCCCAAGAACCCAGAACACGCCTGGCACACAGCAGGTGCTCAATAAACATGTGTTAAATAATGGACTCCAGAATGCTGTGAGAGTTCTGGAATGTTCTTAAGGATCTACAAAGATCTTAAGGAGTCCAGAGCAAAGGATCAGCCCATCAGGGGACTGCCTTGACTCCTTCCTGCATCACTTTGAGGTAAACATCCCCAAGGACACATGCCGCAGCTTACATAGGAGGGTACGAGGTGGCATTCTTCACAAAGCTCCATGGTTCTGCAGGCTGCGGTGGAGTAAACCTCAGGGGTCCAAGAGGCGGCTTGGCAAAAGGGATTCCCAGGAAAATGGCCACAGGCTGTGCAAATCCTTCTAAGCTGACGAACTTCCCCAGCACTTTGCCATGCACGGTGTCCACCACAGGTGGCGAGGACGGATGCCCTGCTGGACATGGAGAATAAATCAGGATGCATCAGAGGCAAAAGGCTGGACCCAGATTCCAGGTGGAGTTTGCCGCTTTCTAAGTGAGTGACCTTAAATAAGTCACCTAAACCCTCTAGGCCTCAGTTTCTCTTGATGTACAATAGGGATGACGATCAATGTCCTCCCTAACCCATTGAGCTGGTTTAATGGGCAAACTAGAATTGGAGGCATAAAAACATCCAGCTAAAAATAAATGCAAGAAGGAGAGCTACTAGGAAAGAACAAGACATTTAGCTTCCCCCTTAGAAGTCTCTGGAAACATTTATCCATTAGAATCCTGGCACTGAGCCGCATGCTGGATGAGAGGATGAAAAAGGGGTGTCCCATATTCTCACAAGCACTGACCATTATAGGGAAGGGTCACATATACACCTGGGGCTACAGCTGGGAAGGAAGTGGCCATGTCCTGGGAGAGGTACCCATAAGGCAGTCTAGGAATTAGAAGAGGGGGCAAGGCCTTCTGATTGCGGGCATCATGGAGGAGCTGGGACTTGCGGCAGGGGAGGACTGAATGAGGGGAGATGAGAAGCAGAGAGTGGTACACAGCAGAGAGAAGGGAATTTGCTGAGGCTCAGAGCAGCAGAATGCAGAGCCTGCCTGGGGAAGGGGGCATGGCCCACATGCACCAGGTGGAGTCTGGGGGGAGTGGAAAATATTCCTGGAATGAGACCGCACATGTCAGGGAGGGCTTAGAATGCCAGGCTAAGCGCTTGAGTTTTCTTTAATGGACAAATAAGCAGCAGGAACCGTTCCAGATAAAGGATGTGATCAGGTCAAGGAAGATTCTTCTGGTGGCCCTGGGCAGGTCTGCTCCATTCTTGCAGCACGGACAATGTTTCCTCACTGAGCTGAAATTCATTTCCCACAGCCTCCGCATCAGTTCTGGTTCTACCTGTCATGGGACTATACTGGCCTGATCTGATCTGCAGCCTGTGGCCTTTCAGACACTTGATCTTGCTGCCCACCCCTCAGGTCCTATCTGGCTCCAGTCACCTCAGTTTCTCTGAGCTTCCCTCCTAGGAAATGATTTCCAGCCTCTTGTCCTCCCAGCTGCTCTGCTTTGGATACAGACAAGACGTCAACACCTCCCTCAAAGTGTGGGGCTAGAGCAGAACAGAACAATTCAGATTTGGTCTTAAAGGGGAATATCCAATCACAATGGAAACCCATTATGGAAAGCCCAGTTACACAACAGCATCCATGTCTCATCTTATTAATAGCCAACCCTGCAATGTCAATATTTAGCTTCTTTTCTTTTGTTGTTGTTGCTAATTACAAATAATACTGAGATGAACTTCCTTGGAAGCATGTTTATCGACATAGCAATGGGTGGTGGCATTACATGTGGCCTGTTTTCTTGGTGATTTCCACCTTTTCAGCACTGTATGGGATTTCCGGTCTTCACCTGAAATCCTCCCCCCCATCTTAATTATTTTAAAATTTTAAATAAAAAAAGAAAAAATATGTAGAAATATGATGATGTCTAAAAGGTATTTTGAAAGACTTGGAGACCAGGCACAGTGGATCACCTGTAATCCCAGCACTTTGGGAGGCCAAGGCAGGCAGATCATTTGAGGTCAGGAGTTCAAGACCAGCCTGGCCAACATGGTGAAACCCCCTCTCTACTGAAAATAGAAAAATTAGCTGGGTGTGGTAGCATGAGCCTGTAATCCTGGCTCCTCCAGAGAGAGAGAAGAAGGAAAGAAGGAAAGGAAAGATGGAAGGATGGAAGGAAGGAAGGAAAGAAGGAAGGAAGGAAAGAAGGAAGGAAGGAAGGAAGGAAGGAAGGAAGGAAGGAAGGAAGGAAGGAAGGAAGGAAGGCAGGCAGGCAGGCAGGCAGGCAGGCAGGCAGGCAAGTGGGAGTGAGGGAGGGAGGGAAAGAAAAGAAAGGAAAAGAAAAGACTTGGTCCCTGACCAGAGGTGGGGGAAATGGAAGGGAAAGAAGACCAAAGAGCTGGCTTGTAATGCTGGATCCCTGTTTACACAGGCTCGGTGGAGATGTGAGTGGGATATCCAGGCAAGATGATGCCACAGGATGAGCGCACTTCAAAGCTGGAAGGAAGCCTGGTGAGGGAGCAGGGCAGAATCTTCTCCTGGACTGTGAGGGTACATACGGTGGATGTGTATGGCTTCATTGAAGATGCCAGTGTGAGAGGGAAGAGAAAAAAAAACAAAGGTCAAACACAGGGACCACTACGGCCAAGACCAAAGATCCATCAGAATAGGGGAGAGAGAACGTTCCCATGTCTTTGAAGCCCAGGGAGCAAGAGGGCGAGGAACCAGCTAAGATTGCTGAGGACTTCAGGGAGGTGGAGGAGAGTCAAGTCAGAGAAGAAACCACTGGGCTGGTCATGCTCAGCTCAGGGATTCCCTTCAACAGGATGAGGTGGATGGCAGCCAGATTGCCAAGGGTGAAAAAGTGGGTGAATGGGGGGAGGCAGAAACAAGTGTGAGAACAAGACCAGTTGCTGCTGATGTTATATGAAGCACGAACATGGTGGGCACCTACTATGTGCCAGGCATGCATTCCAGTTTGTTTAAATCCATCTTCAAATAAGCCTTGCTGGGTAGGCATCAACATGCCCATTTTACAGAGGAGGAAACTGAGGAAGTGGAGGCAGCCTGTATGGTCTTCCTAAGGAAGGAAATGGATGGCATTGCCAGGAGTAACCAGAGGTAAAGGAACATTCAGTTCCAAATAGGCTTCCTCTCTTCTCTGCCCTTCCCCACAGTTCCAGAGCTCTCGCAGTGTCAGGCTGCCAGAAGGAAGACAGGATGCAGACGGGGCTGGGCTGTCAGGATTCAGGACCCAGAGACAGACCTAGGCGTGATTTTCGGGTTGACCCTGGGCAAGTACATTTCCCTGTGTGAGTCTCAGTTTCTCTGTCTATAAAATGGCACGGGGGTATTTCGAGGCCCCTCGCTGCACCCCTCTATGTACCATCTGTTTTGCTTTCTGTATTCTGATGTTCTGGCATCTGAGGCCTTGTTGACCTTGGAGAAACTGTCCCTCCCAGGGTCCAGCCAACCTGGAGCCCACACTCCAACCGCCTCTTTGATCGGGTTGCCATGCCCTGGCCACTACCCACCTGCCCTAATCATGCCAGGGCTAGGTACAAAACAATTAGGAACAGCCCCTGTGCCCCAGAGCCCCTGAAGTATCCCAACTTGCCAGTCCTCAGCCTGCCTGCCCTGCCTTTCCTCTTCTATCCTTGGAAGCCACAGTAAAAGCCCCTTGGCCTCAGATCCGCCCTGTCCCCTCCCCAGGCTCTGCTGCTTCCCCTTGTGCCCCGCGCACTGGTGTCCCCCTCCTGTTGAGAACATGAGTAAGAAACTGTCTTTTTAATGGCAAGAGGTCCTGATATAGTGGCCTGACCACAGCTCAAATTTTCTATTCATACACTACGTTTTTAAACAGCGCCTTTATTTATCCATCCCTTTTTCGTGCTTTCTACATACCAGGCGCTGCCAAGAGTGCTTTAGAAACAGCCACCCATTTCCTCCTCACCAAAGCCCAGTGAGGTAGGCAGCACTGCCACCTCTGTTTCAGAGAGGGGGTAACCCAAGCACGGAATAGCGCAGTCCCTTGCCTAAGGACACACAGCGAGGAAGCGCCCAGCGGGGACTCGAACCCACGCACTCTGGCTCCAGAGTCGATGCTCTTAATATTATGTTGAGCCGCTCTCCGTGATCCAGCCGTAAGGGGACTAATTAAGGGACAGCAAACTGAGCTGCCTAAATTTCTCGTGTGTGCGGCCTGAGGTGGGCCGGCTGTCGGCCTGCATTTGGGCGAGCAGTACAGGGCGATCTCAGGATGTTCACCCTCCCTGCGTCTCCGCGCGGGCCAGGCTGGCCGGGCTCAGCTGCTCCAAGTCCAAGTCCTAATATGGAAGTCGTGCCCCGCCGCAGAGCCGGACCTGTTGTGTCTTTGCCTTTCTACGCATCTGCGCCCACCTCGGCCCAGAACAAGGATTTCAAAAAGTGCCCCGCATATTTGACTTCAGAAGGACTCACCCCAAGCCGCGGAAGCAGCGAGAGTGGCCAGGACAAGAGCAGGGAGCCACATCCTGGAAGGGCGACAGTTCCGGGGGCCTGCGAGGTCTCCGTGCAGCTCAGAGGGACTGTGCTGTCCAGCCCTGGCGCCCAGCCCCGCCCAGAGTTACCGCCCTGCGCTGCCAATTGCCTAATCCTCTAATTGGGAGAGATCAGAAAAGCCCTCCCTTTCCTCAGATCTCCCTGGGCTTCTAGTGGGGCCTCAGGCCACGCCCACCCACAGTTTACCCTCTTTCATCAAACCAGTCTGGACTCTACTGTCAGATTACAGAGAGCTGTAAACTTGCCCAACTACTTGTTACATAAGGGTTCACCCTTGCAGGACTCTAACCTCAGTGCACTGTGACGGCCCCCAAGGGCCCACACCAGCAGGCAGATGCTTTTAGGCAAAGGGAAGCTTTGATCTGAGGTCCTCAGAAACAACTGGAAAATGTTAGAGCCACTCACACCTCACAGCTCAGCTGGGTAAGTTAGGACATATCTCAGCTCCCAGGGCTTGTGTTTTCATAGCTTTCCAGGCTCTCAAGCTTGGAAGCGATCTTAAATTTCATCGAGTCCCCTTTCTGAGGCCTGAATTAGCTTCACAATATCCTGCCAACTGGTCCAGCCTCCTGTCACACACCATCGGTGTCAGAGAACTCACTACTTTCCAAAGCAGGGATTTTTGGACAGAATGTAAAAATGAACTCCGTCCCCCCATAGTCCCTGGCTGTTATCATCCATCCATCCAAGTACCCATCCATTTTGTGAACATTTACCAAAATGCTTGGCACCTGGCCATGTATAATGGATACAAAGACCAATTCAAGACATGGTTCAGCTTCTCAAGGGGCTCACCATTGTAGACAAGACAGATGGGGTGGAGGAGCAGTAGGGGTGATGTCAAGGCAATGTGAAATCACCAAATTAAGGGGATACAGAGTGCTGTGGGCACACCTGGAAAACTGTCATTTACAAGCTGCTGGGGACACAAGGAAGTCACTCAAAGCCTCTTTCATGGGATTATTAAATGTCCAACAATAGGGAATTCACTAAACACACTGTGGTACCGCTGGCTAAGGAAATACGATGTATTCACTCAAAATAGTGATGTGCACAGCTATTTATTAACAATGAAGACAGGATGCGTTGTGAAAGGAGAAAATAACAGGTTATAAACTGTTGTGCGGTGTAGGCAGTTCCTCAAAAAGTTCAACACAGAGTTTCCATATGACCCAGCAATTCCCCTCCTAGGTGTCTACCGAAGAGAACTGAAAGCATGTCCACACAAAAGCTTGTACACAAAGAGCAGTGTCATTCATCCTAGTCAAAAAGTGGGCACAACCCGCATGTCCATGACCTGATGAATGTGTAAATGAAGTGTGGTGTATGCGTGCAGAGGCATATCATCCAGCCATAAGAAGAACATGCTACAACGTGGATGAAGCTGGAAAACATCATGGTAAAGGAAAGAAGCCAGCCACAAAAGGCCACATGTCGTATGATGCTTTTTATATGTAATTTCCAAAATAGTCAAATCCATGGAGACAGAAAGTGTTTGACAGGGTCTGGGGAAGGGGAAAGAGACGGGGATGAGGAGTGACTGCTAATGGGCATGAGTTTTATCTTGGGGGTGGTAAAAATGTCCTGGGATTAAATAGTGATGATGTTAGTGCAACTTTGGGAATATACTAAACACCACTAGATTGTACACTTTAAAAAGGTAAACTTTATGACATGTGACTTATATTTCAATAAAATAATGAAATATTTTTGAAAATCTAGATAGGTATAATATGGTCCCGTTTTGGTAGTAACATATGTCTTTATTTGCATGGGAAAATATTGGAAGGCTATATATCTAATTAGAATTACAACAGCCATTTCCTGGCTGTAATCTTGTCAGTGTTTCACTTATTTGCATTTTCCACTTTTATTCCTTCATACATTCATTGACAAATATTTACTGAGAGCTTACTGTGTGGCAAACACTATGCCGAGAGTTTTGTATGCAGGATCTCAGTTCTCAAAATAACCCCGTGAGATTAATGCTGTCTCACGATCTTAAATTGATTTCTGTTGTTTAAGCCACCCAGTCTGTGATATTTTCTTCTGGCAGCCTAAGTAGACTAATACATAGGCTCAACTCAATTCCGTTATTTATTCCCAAAAGAAACTAAGGCCCAGAGATGAGGAGGGATTGCCTAAGGTCACACAGCAACTCAATGGCAAAGTCAGAACCAGAACTTGAGGCTTCTGCCTTCCAGCACAGGGTGGCTGGCAGCCATTTCTCTTGCTTTTGTACATCAGGAAGATATTCTAATCAGTAGCCTTATCTAAGGCAAATTGCCTTGTCAGCTCATTGACCCAGGCTTAGCATGGTAGGGCTGAAGGGATAGAAATAGCCAGGGGAGGCTGGGCACTGTGGCAACCCTTCCCGCTCGGTAATCCTAGCACTTTGGCAAGCCAAGGTGGGAAGATTGCTTGAGAGAGGAGTTCAAGACCAACCTGGGAAACATAGTAAGACCCTATCTCTACAAGAATAAGGAGAAAGGAAGAAGAAGAAAAAGAGGAAGGAGAAGAAGGAGAAGGAGGGAAGAAAGAAGAAGAGGAAGAAGAAGAAGAAAGACAGAGAGAGACAAAGAAAGAAAGAGAGAGGAAGGAAGGAAGGAAGGAAGGAAGGAAGGAAGGAAGGAAGGAAGGGACAAAGATGGGAGCCATGTACCAGGTACCTGGGGAGCTATGTTCTATTTTCCCAATGTCACTTGGCAAGCCTGCCCTTGTCCAGGCCAGACCACTATTGACATCAGGAAAGATTGGGCAACCAGCAGCCATAAATCACATGACAGTCCCAGAGCTGCTGATGGATTCTTGCCCAAGGCCATGAGTTGTAGCTGAAATGAAACTTCTGGAGACCCAAATTCAAAAAGGCATGCTCATTAGCACTCATTCTAGCCACGTGCAGGCTGGTGAGGGGCATTCTGTGATGGGAATGAGGATGCTCTGACAGCATGAGAATCAGTCCCCAGAGCTAACTGACTCTACAAAGGTTGACCTGAGCTTTAGGGTTCCTCCCTTACTTTTATCCAGGACAGAAATCTGGCTGATAAACTGCATGCTAATAAAAAGCATCCCTATCTCTATCCACAAGGGACAAATTGGGAGGTCCTCCTAAATAGAAAGCAAGGCTAGTCCCACTCACTCAGCACAACACACACACACACACACATGTGCACGCATGCGCGTGCCTGTTAACCATCCTGCCCTGTTGCCCTAGTCAGCTGACCTTTGCAACCTGGGAAACAGCCCTGGCTCTTGGCCTATGAAGATTTTGTGGTGCTGTGTTCACAAAATATAAAAGATAAGGATTAGTTCTTCTCCTGAACCACTGCTCAATCACATGCCCGCTTGTGACACCAGCCAATTGTGCAAACAGAATTTTTTGGCCACTCCTAGGTTTTGCCTGGGTCTGGCTGCAGCCTCTGACACCTTTTTCTGCTTCATGATGACTCTGCAGATTGTGATGGGTGAGGCTGGAGCCTACCAAGCCTTACAATAGATCTAATTTTTGCTTAATACATATAACTCCCCTGCAACACTTCAGCTGTAAGCAATACGTCTCTTGTTTAAGTGGCAGTTGGTTGGTGGGGGGCGGGGGGGATATTATTGTTTTCCCTGGGGAACACCCTCTGGTTTCCCATGTGGAACTATATGATGTGGAAAGTAAAATCCGAGGAACTGGCCTTAACTTCTAAGCAGGGGGTAGGACTTGGGAGAGTGAGCATATCTGGGGGCTTCAAATGAACTCCCCCAAACCTCTCCACCTCCATCAGTTTACTCAGCAGATATATGGAAAGCTCGTATTAGAGCAGGCATTGGGCACAGCAAGCCCATGTCCTGCTGGGCCCCTCACTCAGCTTTGTCTCTGAACCATGGGATTGATCAGGTGCAGATTTTGTGGTGGAGAACACTGAACTGGGAGACAGAAGTCTGAGAATCCACTGGGTGACATTTGGGAATTCCTTGTGGAAAGGCAGGGGGTGGCTCTGGGGGAGGGGCTCTCTCATGCACCCTTCACCGTGGCTCCACACTCTATGAATCCAGGATTCTACGACATTCTCCACTGCAGCCTGGGCATATGCAGTGTTTCTGGAACCTCACTTATTCTCACACTAATATCATGGTTTTTTGCCTCATCAGCGTATCGTCTGTACTTCTATGAACAGTTTTCTTTAAATGAAGCACTCTTTTTACTTTAACATGCTCACTCAAAAAGGAGACTTTATACCATTTCCATAACTGCAAGACCTGTATAACCTGCCATAAATTAGAGGTATGCATGGAAAATGTGTGACTGCATTTTTTAAATTAAAACGATGGTAAAAATAAAAACTTACATAAAGAAAAGCCAGTAAAAACACTTCTGGTTTACAGAAGTGTATAACTGAAAAAAGTCACTCAATGGGAAAAGTGAACCATTGAAGGCCAGTTAGTTACATGAAAGCAGGGCCAGCCTTGATCGCCGTCATGACCACCAGGTAGGTGACAAGGCAAGGGTACCTACCTTTGGCAAGGATCATCGTCACCAAGGTCATTTTCTTCTGCTTCAGGGAACGTCTTCCTGTTAACATTCGGTTCAATGGGCAGAAATTGTATTATGTTTACACCTTCCCAGGACCACGATGCTGTGTTATACTTAGGGGTCAGACTCCCTGGGGTCAATCAGGTCCTAGGACTAACTGGTCAGAGCATCTGGAAGAAATTTTGGCCTGGTCGTGGGTCATAGAGGAAGGAGCTGTACTCCCATGGGCATAACTAGTCACCCTCAATGGCGCAAACAACCGGAAATCGGGCCATGTACATTCATCAGGCAATCACCCTGTGACTGCTGAGCAAGAATTATAAGGGAGAGTAGGATAAACTATGGTAGCAAATAGGCCCAGAATTTCAACGCCTTATTTTTCAATTACGTAAAGGACTAGAGTGTTGTTCAGGTCCACAAGGTGGCTGTCCTCCATATGGTCATTCAGAGATCGAAATTAGGGTATTGGCAAACTTTCTCTATAAAGGGCCAGATAGTAAGTACTTTGGGCTTTGCAGGCCATGGGCTGTCTGTGGCAACTGCTGTGGTAGTCAGGTGGCCCATAAACAATACCTATGCAAATGGGCATGGCTGTGCTTCAATAAAACTTTATTTTTAAAAAGACAGTAGGCCAGATTTGGCCCTCAGGCTGTAGTTTACTCAGTCCTGATCTAAGCTATGGTGGCTTTGCCTTCCTTCACTCATGGTTTCTAAAGTTGCCATAGGTGTCAATTGCCTGTCACCTGGAAGAGGTAGGAGCAGAAGTGTGACCATGGAGCATTTGTATGGGCCAGGCCTGGCTGTGGCACTCTCCACTCCCACTCAGAGGACATTGGTGAGAACTTATTCACATGTTCAATCTAATTGCAACGAAGGCTGGAAAATGTAATCTGGCTGTGTACCAAGGAAGGTGGGACAGATTTTAACAGACTGCCAGCAATCCTTGTCACAGGTAATATCCATTAAACCATGGACTTGATAGTAAGGGTTTTTTCCCTAATACACAGCAAAATAAATAAACAGCCATTCTATAAGTGGTTTTTAGTTTGTGTGCCATCTAAAATGATCTTGCATAACTCCAGGAATAAGTGTACCACACTCTGATAAACACGAAGTTTTTGCATTTCTTTGATTCAAATCACAAAAGCCTGATTATAAACCCAGATCCTATTCATTAGCTCTACTTTATTAAGCCTTCCTTTAGCCTGTTAAGAATAAAATGGGAAAAAAGATGATTCAGAAAGCAATGTAAAAATTTAGACACAGAAAAGTGAAGATTGAATTATAATCTGGAAAGAGCCCTGTAAAGTCAAACTATAGATTACATTATAAACATCCAGGTGAATAGAGTGGCCTCCATGGAGAGGCATGTTCTGTGTGTTTTCTTGCCCTGAGAACTATCAATATTCATATATGTTAATGCCCATAACTGTGATGACTCTTGATGGTAGCGGGTATTGAGAGATGGACAAAATTTGGGGAGGCAGAGAAGAAATTAGCATTGGAACAAGGCAGATTCAGGGGCTTCTTGGGGAGGCCAGTTGCAATGGAAGGGTGAATGGAGGACAGAGAGCTTCAATGCCAAGCCAAGGACAACAGACTTCATCCCTGGACAATGAAGAGACACTGAAAGGCTTTAATTCTGAGAATTGCACAATGAAGGGCGTTTCTGAAAGTAGAGCCTGGCAGAAGCAGCCAAGCCATCTGGAGGGACCAGTGGTTACTCTCAAGGGGAACCTCCTACACACTCTTCGGGAAGGTGGAAGATAAACTTCTCCTTTTCAAAGGTGCCTAAGTCCTAGCTTGTGAAAGCTTGGCTTTGGGGCTTACATAGGACTCAGCAAGCATAAATGACATAAGCTTCTCCAAAAAGCTGGACTGCACAAAGGTCTGCCCAAATCTCAGGATCTACTGGTGTTGGCCCTGTGTTCTCACTTTAGAAGGTCATGCAAGGGACAAAATCTCTAGAATCCTTCGTGGGCTGGGTCACAGCTGAGATGGGAAGGTTGCAGTCCTCTGAAACTTCCCACATAGCTGTACTTCTATGGAGGCCAGGACCACATCGGGGTGGGTACAGTCCACAATCCCCCTCCATCCCACCAATCAGGTTCCAAGGGGTCTTCACATCCACAAAATACCATTTTCCCAGATGAATAGCACACACACCAAGACACGCAAATTCAAACCAGATACCCAAATGGCACTTATTGAATTTGCAAGGAGTTTTACCACAATTCTTTTGGCGGTAGTGCCTAGTGGCAACAATATAGAAAACAAGGAACTTTCACCACTGATGTGAGAGATCATTTAGTTCAAGCTTCCTTGGGGGCAATTTGGCAAAATCTATCCTAACATTTCAAAAAGGCATCCCTTTTGCCCCAGCTATTTTTTATTAACCATGTTCTTTATTTTCTCCATTCTGACACTTTGACATGCAGGGCTTTGCTCCTAGAGGAACTGCTCCTCCCATGGTTAGCCAATTGCTAGAGATATAAGCCACTTGTCTCTTAGTGTGCCTTTCATACATAAACTCACCGATCCAGAGCCCACATCCCCAACCACCTCCTTCATGGGCTCTCCCACTGTGAACTAATAGCCTCGCACCCTAATCACCCCAGAGCTAGGTACCAGATGGAACAGCCCCAATGCTGCAGAGCCCCCTGAAATTGTTCAAACTAACCACTCCTAAACCTGCTCACCCTGCCTCACCTCTTCCTTCCCGGGGAAACCACAGGAACACCTTTTGCCACATCCCCATCACCACCACCTTCTGATGGACTCCAGCGTTGTCTGTGCAGCCTCCTGCTCCCATGGCATGGAGTGCCCCCTCGTCTTGTCTTGGGATCTGTGAGTAACAAGCTACTTATTCTTTCTTTCTTTCTTTTCTTTCTTTCTTTCTTCTCTTTTTTTTTTTTTTTTTGAGACAGAGTCTCGCTCTGTTGCCCAGCCTGGAGTGCAATGGCACAATCTTGGCTCACTGCAACCTCTGTCTCCCAGGTTCAAGTGATTCTCCTTCCTCAGGCTCCCGAGTAGCTGGGATTATAGGCACCCACCACCAGCTATTTTTTTTTTTTTTTGGTATTTTTAGTAGAGACAGGGTTTCACCATGTTGGTCAGGCTGGTCTCGAACTCCTGACCTCAGGTAATCCATCCACCTTGGCCTCCCAAAGTGCTGGGATTATAGATGTGGGCCAGCATGCCCAGCCCAAATTGCTTTTTCAATGGCTGACATCTGATTGGTGGGCCTGCCATACCTAAATAATGATAAAACCTTTATTTTAAAGCACTATTCTCTAGGAATAATTCTGAATGAGCCCAAAGATATATGTATCAGGTGGTCACCTCAGTGAAGTTGACAATGGTACAAAATAGGAAATCATTCGAATGGCTAACAATAGTAGACAGTTAAATAATTTATTGAGTATTATACTATGGGATGCAATGTAGCTGTCAGAAAGGTAGAAAAAATTGTTTTTAAATGTTTGTGTAAAGGAAAAACGGTTTACCACTTCCTGTGAAAGAAGAGGGATCCAAAATTTTTTATTTCCCCCCTCCAATTATCCTAAAAAAAAACAGTGAAATAAAGTTTTTAAAGCTACAAACCCACACTGACAAACTGTGAAAGAAGAAATGACAGCATTTTGGACACTGAGAGGCCAACAGAATGACGATAACTAGTTTTAGAACAGAAAAAGGAGACGTTAACTCCTGGAGAGAAAGACACCACCATGCACCTATGCAATCAGAATAGAGACAGAAAAGACTCTCTGGGTTTAGGGGTATTGGATGCCTGTAGAAGTTGGGGTGTAGGTAACCCCCACTTATGCCCATGGGGAGTGCACCTCTCCCCTTTGAGCTCCACCCCAAGGCCAAAGTTTCCTGGAGGCTCTTTGCCTCTGCCACTCCTAGAACTGGGCTGACCCCAGGAACTCCAACCACCTAATTACAACAGAATATCGGAAGGGCCTTGCCAGATGTCAACATAAGATGATTTCTGTCCAGAGATCTGAGTGTCAAAAGGAAGAAGTTTCCCAAAGCTCATGTAATGGCTGCAGTAATGATGACTCTTGATGAAGTCAATGCCTGGCCACCAAACAAGCTCTCATGATGGTGGACAAGTTTGTCCTTGCCTTCATATTACTAATTGGCCATCAACAGTCCATTTTTCCCATTGAATAACTTATTTTCAGAAATGTGCTTCTATAACTCAATTGTTGCATGCAGTGAAACTAATGGAGGACTTATATAGTGATAAATAACAATCAAAGTGTACCAATCCTTCTAAAAATACCGAAGGTATCAGCCAGAGTTCTGTTCTCTCACATGAAAAGTTCAGGAGGTGAATAGAGCTTGAAACACAATTACATAAATAAATGTAATAAATGAAATAAATAGATTAGATAGATAATAGATAGATCATAGATAATTGATAGATGATAGATAATAGGTAGGTAGGTAGATAGGTAGATAGATAGACAGACAGACAGACAGACAGACAGACAGACAGATAGATAGATAGATATTTTATGGCATTATCTTCCGATAAAGAGAGAAGTCTGTTTCCTAAAGGTCAAGGTAGAAAAGCTGTCCTCCAGGCACCCACAGTGTGCTCCAGCAACCTTGCCAACACCAGCCCTGCTGCCCGTGGGCTGGCCCCCTTGCCACCACTGCTCAGGGTCACACTTCCGCCATGCTGTGGCTGGCCATCCCCCTTCCTACCCATCCTTTAATTTCAGACTTGACCTCCACCCCATTCATGGAGCACAGCGAGCTCTTTGCAATGAATTTCTTTGTATTTTGAGACAATCAAGCGGCAAGGTAGGTTTTTTTCTCCCCAGCCCTTCCCGTCCTTGGGAATAATGAGGCACACTCTCAATACGAACTTTTAGCAGAGCATACGGGGCAGGACTGAGTGGGATCTGTCCCTGCTGGGGGAAGGGAGGCTCATCTTGTAGATGCGCTACCTGGGGCAGCACCAGGTGGGGCAGCTACCCAGGTGCAGGGCCTGAGCCCGCTTCCCACCCTCCCCTGCAGCTCTGCCCTGGGGGAATCTGGACTGAGTTGGTCCAAGGAGAGGAAATCCCTTATGTCCCTCTGAGGTAGGCTCCTGGAGACTTAATGGGAAAGTCCAGGAGGTGGAAAAGGGAAAAACTGCTGGCTCCAACCTCTGTTCTGCTAGTGAGTTTAGTCTTTTCAGTCAGACTTTTCAGGGAGTGGATTCTACCTTTTCCTCTTTCCAAATGTTACAGATGGAATGGATAACACTATATTGTATTGGCTTGTATATAATTTAACTATTTGGCATGGTCTTATTGTCAGTCCAAGTTCTGCGATGTCACACCACCAGCATCTCAGGAGCCTCAGAATAGAGGGAAGCGTTTTTCCTTTGTGATAATGCTGCCCTCTACTGGACATCAGGAAATTCACAGGTGAAGACCGACGTAGTTTGTCCCTAAAGTTTTGCTTTGATTTAATTTAATGGATAGGGTTCAAGATTGTTTAAAAAAAAGGGGAGAGTGGGGAGGGGGAGGCAGTGGGTCCTGGAAAAGTAAATTGTTTATTTTACAATAAGAAAGTGGTTAAATATTTTATTTTTTTTACAATGGTGGAAAATTAGAAGTGATTGTGAAAATGATGTGTACCTGTCTTGCTGATGAGTAGGATGTGATTTGGCGCTTTAGGAAAGTGAATTTGTAGAACTCAAAAATATTGACTTATAAAGGGCATGGCCGTTGACCCAGTCCATCTTATGCAAATCTGGATGCCATAAATAATATTTAAAAGTAAAAATACTGGGGTGGAGGTTGCAGTGGGCAGAGATCGCGCCACTACACTCCAGCCTGGGTGAAAGAGTGAGACTCTGTCTCAAAACAAAACAAAAAAAAAGAAGTCATTCCCAATGTTGCTCATCAAATTATGACCATAAATATCCAGGATAAGACTAGTGGCTAAAGAAACTGTGACACGTCAACACCAGGCAGAAAATAAAGCAGATTTTTTTGTTGTTTTGGAGAGCCTCTAGGAACTTGAAAAATACATATGCCACACTCTTAAGACCCAGTGGTTCTTAATCGGGGTGTTCATTAAAATGCCAGAAAACTGAAAATACTTCTAGGTCCCATCCAAGGAGATTTTGCTTCCGATTGACTGGCTAGTGGCCTGGCCATTGGTATTTTGGAAAAACCCTCCAAGTGATTATTTTACTTACATTCCAGATAGAAAACTCTAAATTAAAGGGGAAAAAAACAGACACAAAGTGGCATTTAAATAAATGTCAACTTTAACTCCACAAAGCATCTGATTGCATGTGGACAGAAAGAGAAGGAAAGAGGGCCCTATATCTGGATAACTTAGAAATGTGCTCCCCCTAGCAAGATATCTACCAAAATTAGAAACACATTTGAGGATGCTGGCACTGCGAGCAATATATAAATGATGCGTGTAATGTCATTTAATATGATCGTATTTTTAAAAATGAGTTGAGTGGTGTTTTCTAGCTGTTAGTTTTTCCAAATATCAATATAGAAATTAGTCTTCTGCAGCTGCAGAGGCAATTCAGTTTCCAGCTTGCTTTCACGGCCTAGAGCCATAAAGTGGCCCAGAGCATCTCTGATCCACCCCTCCCACAACCACCTAATCCAGAGACAACCGAATGCTTTGGACCATCTGATGAGAGAGGTAGCTGCATGGCAGTAAGAGTCCTGCTCTGAAGTGACAAGAGCCTTAAGGCCTGGTTTTGACTTACTGCTAACTTGCTCACACTGCATACTTGCTGAGTGATCTTGGGTGAATCGTTTCACCTCTCTGAGGTTCACTATGAAATGAGAGGTCAAGGGTCCAAACTTAAACACCTTCAGAGGTTGGGTAATATCAGTGAGTAAAATAGACCAGGCACAGCACAAAGGGGTATGGTGTGGACTGTGGCACGTTGAGAACTTAGGCCTCTGTAAAGGGGGCAGCCACCACTCAGTTCCTGCAGATTACTCTATCTTTGCTGAGGACAGTTGCACAGGTAGTGCACTGCAGAAGGGTAACACTTTAGAGAAGGTGTCATTTGCATCATAAATGCAGATATTTATCCATGGCAGTTTCATGGAAGATGTCTGTAGAAGGTTTTGAGGAAGGGGCACCTTGTAATTTGCATAAAAGGTTGTATGGACCGCCAGAAGTGCTGGTTATCATGTGGGAATGCAGCTCGGTAACAGTATCTTCTGGGTTTTCTTGTTATTGTTGTTTCCTGAAGAAGCTGGAAATATGGCATTTAATGTGAAATTTTCCTAATTTAAAATTTGCTGGCAACAAATTCCAAAACATGTTTAACGTTGTGTGGGCCAAACAAAACACTTCAGGGGGTCTGATTCGGGCACTGAGTTGGAGATCTCTCACCCAGATGAGTTACTGGCATCTCAGAAACCCTCCTATTGTATGCATCTTATGTAATCTTGAAGCAATCACGAAGAAAAACTAATTACCCTGGTGAATTATATGGATATAATATGGATTATGTGGCTATACAAAGTAAGAGTGCATCCTTTGAATGATGGTATTTAACATTCTCCCTACCCTGTGACTAACTTTGATTTGTCCTTTCTTGATGTAAATGCTATTTCTCCAGAGAGAGCCTCCTAAGACTTTAATCTCACTTAGGTTCCCTCCGTTACACTTTCTTGAAAACACCTTATTCTCCTGAGTAACACCTATCAAAGTTACAGTATGAGATATCCACTGGCGTGAATGTTTGCTTAATGTCTGTTTGCTCACTCTTTGGTAGCAGCCATGTTTTGTTCACTGCTATATCCCTAGTGGGGATACGCCTGGTATATATCAGACGCTCAGTGTCGATTTATTTTTTATGTTTTTATTATTATTATCTTATCTTATTTTTTTTTCTGAGAAGGATTCTCGCTCTGTCACCCAGTCTGGAGTACAATGGTGTGGCCTCTGCTGCCTGCAACCTCCACCTCCCGGGTTCAAGTGATTATCCCACCTCAGCCTCCCGAGTAGCTGGGACTACAGGCACACGCCACCAAGACCGGCTAATTTTTGTATTTTTTTAGTAGAGACGGGGTTTCACCATGTTGGCCAAGCTGGTCTTGAACTCCTGACCTTAAGTGATCCACCTGCCTCAGCCTCCCAAACTGCTGGGATTACAGCCATGAGCCACCCTGCCCAGCCAGTGTAGATTTATTGAATGACAGATTCATCTCGACCCCACCAGGGAAGCTTCATTTCTTCTTGGCATTGCTGATCCGACCCTTGATGCCTAGAATTTGACTTCTAGGTTTTTTATTCTGGATGATGGCAGCTTTCCATGGCTGAGGATACCCCGTCACCCACACATCTCTCTGAGCCAGAGAAGAGACCCAGCTCAAACCCGTGACATCCAAGACATCCATACTTGGCTTGCGGCTGAAGCCCCAATGGGTTGGGGTTGGGGGACTTGCATTTTGGGTAACATACACAGACACCTTCTCTGATAGAAAGTGGGTGCTGGGGGCATGGGGAGTGTTATCAGCACAGAATTAAATTCTGCCCCCGTATACCTATTTTACATTCTGATTTTATTTCATATGAGTTACAAAACCATTATTATGACAACTAATAGGCCAGCCCTCTTCCAAATTTATTGAAGAAATCTTGTTGCCTTCCAAGACAAATTGCACTTTTTGATGTTGAAAAGAATTCTGTAAGGATCATTCCTAAGTCCATAAAATATCAGCGAAAGCAGCTTGTTTTGCAAGGATCCCCATAGAAAGCAGCTGAGCTCAGAAAGAAGCTAATGATTGCGGGAGAAATTATAGGAGGAGAAGGGAAACCAAAATCACAGAAAGATAACTTCTCAAGGAGCACAAAAGAAAAAGAAAGGCTGGAGGAGAGAGAGGAAAGTTAAGGAAGAAAGAGGACTGTGGAGCATGTCGGAGGCAGACAGGATCAGGGGGATGGTGCTGGTCCAAAACTCCACCCGCGGTTCTTTGAGTCTCTGTCCGAGGCTCATGTTCAAGTCCAGCTGCAGGTACTGCTCAGTCAGATTATAAGCTGGCCACAGAGACAGGTCGTTCCCATTAGGATTCCTAGAAGGGAGAGCAGAAACAGGGGTGAGATTTTCCTCCTCACATCCCAGGCCTTGGCATGGGGGAGACCGGGAGGTTTACTTACCCGGTTCGAGCAAAGGTAGCCCAGTATTTCATCATCTTCCGGCTCAGTAACTTCTCCTCCTCCGTGGCTCCTTCTGAAGGAGATAATCACAAAATGCTGCTGCTCTGGGTGAGGCTCGGGAAGCCCCGGGTGCCTTGTATTTGATGAATCCTTTTCACACCCCTCCTCCCACTGGAAACTTACAAGCCTACCAAATCACTGTACCCATTTTATACATGCAGATACTGAGGCTCAGAGCAACCGGGACCTGTCCAAGGAACTGTGGCTTCCGAATGGTGGAAGCTGAACACACATCTTCCCTGTCCACCCCGTGTTCCTGCAGCCAGTCCCATGAGGCTGCAGGTTCCCTGGGGACACAGACCAGCTTGCTCCCTCTCTCTGTCTCTGTTTTCTCCTCTGTCTCTCTTCCTTCTCTCCATCCTCTCTTCCTTCTCTCTCCCTATCTCTCCCTTCCATCTCTCTTCCCTCTTTTTCTTCTCTCTCTCCCTCTCTCTCCCCTCTCTCTTCCTTCCCTCTCTCTCTTCCTTCTTTCTCCCTCTCTCTCTCCCTTCTCTCTTTCTTCCCTCTCTCTGTTCCTTCTCTCCCTGTCTTCCCTCTCTCTTGCTTCTCTCTCTTTTCCTTCTCTCTCTCCCTCTGCCTCTCTCCTCCCACACACATTTTTACAATTAATTTTTGTATTTCTTTAATAAAAAGTAGAAAATCCAAAATGCAGAAAGAGATCTAATATCCAATGAAAATGTTTCCCTTTCATCTCTTCCCTGCAGATGCCCAGTGACGAGCCTCAGAGGCACTTTCCCAAAGACAGGCTCTGCAGGTACCAGGGTATAAGCGGACACCTTTCTACACATCTGGCAGGAGACTGGACACGTATTCTACATATTGCTCTTTTTATTAAAATAGATCTCATATATAGGACTTGTCACTTATCAAACTGCCATTTGTTGTTCTATGAGCATGTAATATACAAAAACATTTATATGCAATCATATATAAATATATAATGTATATGTCATATTTCCGATCTTTTGCTGGTAAAAGTAATATTTTAGTGTGCATATATACTTTTGCACATGTGGAAGTATAATTACACAAAAACACTAGAAGTAGAATTGCCAGGCTAAAAACTACATGCATTTTAATCTATGTTATTTATTTTTATAAAGATGGGGTCTCACTCTGTCACCCAGGCTGGAGTGCAGTGGCATGATCATAGCTCACCGCAGCTTCCAACGCCTGGGCTCAAGCAATTCTTCCTGCCTCAGCCTCCCAAAGTGATGGCATTATAGGCATGAGCCACCACACCTGGCTAAGACTACACACATTTTTTTTTATTTTGTAAAAATAAAAACAATTTTTGAGACAGGAGTCTCACTCTGTTGCCCAGACTGGAGTTCAGGGCCATGATCACAGCTCACTGCAGCCTCGAACTCGGGCTCAAGTGATCCTCCCACCTCAGCCTCCTGAGTAGCTGGGACTACAGGTGTGTGCCACCATGCTTGGCTAATTTTGTTTGTTATTATTATTATTATTTTGTAGAGAGGGGGTCTTACTATGTTTCCCAAACTGGTCTGGAACTCCTGGACTCAAGCAATCCTCCCGCCTCAGACTCCCAAAGTGCTGGGATTACAGGTGTGAGCCACCATGCCCGGCCTTACATGCATTTTAAATATTGATAGACTTCTCTATTAATGTATAAAATTGTTTCTCACACCTGCTTGAATACATTATTTTAAGTGTTTTGTTTTTTTCAACCTTGATTGATGAAAAATAATTCCTTGCTAAGGATGGTCTGCAGTTTTCTTGTTATGAGGGAGGTTGAGTGGATGTTCGTATGTTTAGAAGCCACTTGTGTTTTCTTTTCCGTGAACTATCTGTTTCTATCTGTTACCCAGTTTTCCATTAGGTTATTCTTTTCTTATTAATTTTAGGAGCTCTTCAGACATCAAGGAATTTAACCTTTTGATACATATGTTGTTGACTTTTTCCAGTTTAGGGAGTCCATGTGCCATTACATAGTATGGGCTCAGGAATGGTTGCTGAGAAATAACAGTGACGTTTATTAGGTATTCACTCTTACTTTATGGGGCTTATTTTATTTAATCCTTATGACAACCTAGGAGGAAGTTCTTTATTATCTGTGTTGTGAGGATGAAAAACTGAAATAATGAATAACCCACAGTGCACAAATACACTCTATATGGAACGTTCTGTCCTCTTTGTCAAGAGGCCAGTGTGAATAAGTTAAGAGCCTGCATTGTGTAATGTTTCTAGCTAAATATTTTAGTGATAACTCCTGTGTGTAATCTTCCCTGTAATTTTTTTCTATTGATAACCTCATCTGATTGGTTTATTTTAGGCACCAAATATGTCATAAACTTAAGAATAAATGAGCTAACATCACAAGTAACATTTCACAAGCATTTACAAAGCTCTTCTGGGTGCAGACCACTTTGAGCTGGAATTATGAAAAACATGGTCCTTGCCTCTTAAAGCCTCAGGTTGTGGCCTCATGGGATTTCTGGGAAGGGGAGGGAGGGTAAGACCAGTGGTCAAAGAAAAGGAAGAAAATGGTTCTAGTATATTAAAAAAAAAAAATATTTAGATTGCTTGAGTGCCCTGAAGTGGCCAAACCTGTAGGTTTCAGTACAAAGAGAAGCCCTCATCAAGCAACTGTCATGGCACTTTTTCATCCTGGCTTCTAAAAATGGAAGGGAGGGCATTTTCCAGAGAAAGTTTGTGTCCGCCTATAAACCACAGAGGTAATTAAATGCCAACCCCGAAGTCCTCCAGGCGCTTGCATCGTGGTGGGGTAAGCAAGGGGCTTCATGTGAACTGTAGGAAGTGGCCAGTCCCTTACCGAACATAACAATGTCCCCCTTCAGGAAGGCACCACCGAACACAAAGCGGACTTCATCAGCGTGGTCGGCTTTGACAAAAGCCGGCTTCGTGTCTTCAAAGCACTGAGGCCGGTGCCGAAACTCATAGAAGTAGACAGGTGCACCAGCATCTGACAAAAGGTCAGGGAAGGTCAGGCATGCATGCAGCGCGGAGCAGGGGGCTGGCTCTGTGTCCCCACCTATCACGTCTTGGATGTATAGACCCAGGGGTGGGACAGCTCAGAGACAGCTCACTTCCCCCTTCCTCATTTGAGGCTGGAATTTCCTGCTACAGCAGTGCTCATATCCCTAGTGATGAAGAGCTCACATCTGAGAAGGCAGTAGTTCTGCTTCTCAAAAGAAGTCCTCTATATTCAGCCAAGATCTACTTTGTTGGGACTTTCTCTCAAAGTTCAAGTCTTTTACCCATTATTGGAAAATACTTTCTTTTCATTACTGAACTGTAAGGGTTCTTCTATTCTGGATATGATTATTTTGTCAAATAATTGTACTATGAATATTTTCTTCCAGTCTGTGGTCTGCCTTCTCATTTTCTTAACAATATTTTTAAAGCAAAATGTACATAAGTGAAATCTGCCCCTTGAACCATTTTAAAGTATATAATTCAGCGGTTTTTAGTACATTTAGGATGTTGTGCAACTATCACCACTATTTAGGTCCAGAACATTTTCATCACCCCAAACAGAAACCTCAGACCCATTTAGCAGCCACTCCCCATTGGCCCCACTTCTCAGCTTCTGGAAAACACAATTCTACTTTCTGTGTCTATGGCTTTGCCTAATCTGAACATTTCGTATAAATGGGATCATACAACATGTGGCCCTTTGTGCCTGACTTCTTTCACTTAGCAAAATGTTTACAAGGCTCATCTGTGTTGTAGCATCCGTCCGTATTTCATTTCTTTTTATGGCAAAATGATAATCCATTGTAAGTATATACTGAATTTTGTTTATCGATTCATCAGTTGATGAACATTTGGGTTTTAACCATTTTGGCCTATAATGAACAAGAGTGCTATGAACATTCATATACAATTTTTGTTTGAACATCAGTTTTCAATTATCTTGAGTATATCCCTAGGACTGGATTTGCTAGGTTATATGGAAACTCTACGTTTACCTTTTTGAGGAACGGCCACAACTTTTTTCCACAGTGGCTGCACTGTTTTATGTCCCCAGCAGCAGTGTATGAGAGTTTTGGTTTCTCTATATCCTTCACACTTGTTCTTACTCCTTTTCTTTTTAAAAAAAATTATAGCCACCCTAGTATATGACACATGCAAAAGAATAAAGGTAGATTCTTCCCTCATAGTATATAGAAAAACTAACTCAAAATGGATCAAAGACCTAAATGTAAAACTAAAACTGTAAACCTCTTATAAGAAAATATAGTGGTAAATTTCCATACCCTTGAATTTGGCAGTGAATTCTTATATATGACACCAAAACCACAACCAACAAAAAAGTGAATGAATTCTATTTCATCAAAATTAAAAACTACTGTGCAACTTTTGTACATTATCAACAGAGTAAGAAGGCAACCCGGCAACCCACAGAATGGGAGAAAATATTTGCAAGTCATATATCTCATAAGGGATTAATTTCCACAATATATGAGGAACTCTTAAAACTCAGCAACAAAAAACAACTCAATTCAAAAATGGGCAAGGGTCTTAAACGTTTCTCCAAAAACATATATACAAATGTCCAATAAGCACATGAAAAGATGCTCAACATCTCTAATAATTAGGAAAATGGAAATGAAAACCATAATGAGATACTACTTCAAACCCATTAGAATAGTCATTATTTAAAAAACAACAACAGAAGAAAATAACAAATGTTGGTCAAGATGTCGAGAAATTGCACCCCTTGTGCATTGCTGGTAGTAATGTAAAATGGTGCAGACACAGTGGAGAACAACATGACAGTTCTTCAAAGAAATTAAACATAGCATTACAGATGATCCAGAAATTCTACCTCTGGCATATACCTCAAATAACTGAAAACAGGGACTTGAACAGATATTTCTACAACTATGTTCATTGCAGCATTATAGCCAATAGGCAAATGTAGCCAATAGCCAATTGTTCCTTGCACAATAGCTGAATGGTGGAAACAACGCAAATGTCCATTAATGAATAAATGGATACACAAAATGTGATATATACATACAATGGAACATTAGTCAGCCTTAAAAAAGGAGGAAATTCTGATGCATAGTACAGCATATAGGAATCCTGAGACCTTATGCTACGTGAAATAAGCCAGACAAAAGGACAAATATTGAATGATTCAACTTACATTGAGTAACTAAAGTCACTAAAGTAACTAAAAAGTCAGTCATAGAGACAGAAAGTAGAATGGTGGTTATTGGGGTCTGGGGGAAGGAGTGGTGGGGAGTTATTTTTAATAGGTACTGATTTTCAGTTTGGGATGATAAAAACGTTCTGAAGATGTATAGCGGTGATGGTTGTACAACAATATGAATGTACTTGATACCATTGAACTATACACTTAAAATGGTTAAAATGGTAAATTTTTTATTAAGCATATTTAACTACAATTTTTAAAATGTAAAAAAGAGTATGCCATTTCATTTATAAATATTTGTGAATTTTCCAGATTTCCTTTTGTTATTGATTTCTAATTTCATTGCCTTGTGGTCGAAGAAGATACTCTGCATGATTTCCATCCTTTTACATTCATTGGGATTTGTTTGGTGATCTAACATATGGTTTATTCTGGAAGATGTTGCATGTGCACTTGAGAAGAATGTGGAATCTAATGTTATGGGGTGGAGTATTTGGCTGCATTTAAAATAGTTGATTTAAAGTCGATTACTTTAGGAGTTCCATTACTCCTTATAGCTGTAATGTTTGTTCCATTACTACGTATGGCTAAGATGTTGGGGAAGACATTTCTAGAAAGAAAAAATCCTTGGGGATGGCGCCCAGAAAATTATAGGGAGATGAGAATTTTATACATGGTCCTGAAGAAGGAGAAGAAACAGAAACAACTGATCAACATCCCCAAACTCTGAAAGGCAGGTGAATGACGCAGGTCCCCATGGCATGTTTCCATCCAGACACACCTGGAAATGCACTTTCCATGATAGAACAGAGGCAGAGAAGGCAGCCGGTCAGTAGACAATATGGATTTCCGTGGCCACCAGCCTCACTGGGCTATGGTCCTGGAGCGGGATGCTCAGATACTCACCTCTGTGATATCGAGCTGTGATCAGTGCAGGGACCACAAAGAACACATCTCCAAGCAAGTCCAGAAGACTGTCTCGGATTTCAGTCAGGGAGTGCTTGTCATGGAAGTATTCATTAGCCACAAGGTGCAAATACTGAGGCGGGATGTGCTGTAAAAATATCGTAGTCCTAGGAGATCCAGGTCAACCACAATGGCCAACACGTTAAACACTCACCTGTGCAGGTATGATTCTGAATGCTTTACCCACATTGCTTCATTTAACCCACACAGCAACCCTATGATGCAAGTATCAAAACTAGCCCTGTTTCACAGATTAAGAAACTGAGGCTTAGAGAGGTGAAGTGGTTGGGTCCAACTGGAAGAACCATGATTCTTTCACAAGTCTATTTGCATCCAAATCCCATGCTCCTGACCACAGGCTTCTCTCTCATGTCTCAGAATGAGTCACTTCTGGGCAGAACTGGCTGCATCATCGTGGAGCTCAGTGCAAATTAAAAACATAAACTGCTTGTTCAAAAAATCATTAAGAATTTCAAGATGGTAACAGCGGAGCACTAAACCAAATGTAGGACCCTTCTGAGCAACAAGGTCCTCTGTGACTACACGGGCAGAACATCCATGAAACCAGCCCTGTTCCTGGTACCAGTGCTGCCTCCACCCCTTAGCTATTATCTTACCTAAGCTAGTTGGTCTCTTGGAGCCTCAGTTTCCTCCTCTGTAGGGATGTGGAGGATTATATGAGATGTGAAGAGAAAAGTATGCTGCTTGCCCCAGAGCAGTTCTTTAGTCCTGTTGTTTCCCCTGGGCCCCATTGCTGAGCGCCTTAATAGGACATTCGATGCTTCTCTGACCTGGCACCAGCCTGCCTCCCAGGCTTCTCCCTCTCAACTTTCCCTAGGCACTAATGGCAGAGAGTGCATGGTAAATTCCATGAAGATTCAGGGATCCGGTGCTCTAGGAAATGCTGGAAAGGTGTTGCAGCTCAAACCCCTACCACTAAGACAGCAGCCCTTGATGGGTTTCTTTGGAATTTGGAGGCAAGGAAGTGTACACCACATTGGGGAATGCTGCTCAGACTCGTTTATTGGGTCCTCAGGAGGCTGGTGGTTTTTAATCAGGCCAGAGCAAGGGAGGCCTCTGCAGTAGGTCCAGTCTATGGTATAAGGGCCTGGCCTCTTTGGCCATATAGCCAGCAGACTCCATGGTGCTGGTGATGTCCAAGGTGGGTATAGATGCTATGTGGAGTCTCAGGTGAGTCCTCATAGGACAGTCAGCGTGCAAAATCCTAGGGTTCTGGGGTAAGACTATGACTTCTGCATCAGAGAACTACTTACTGTTTAAAAAGCAGCCCCTAGCATGCTACTGTGCCTAGGAGAAACACATGCCCTTCCATTCCTCTTGCACTTTCCCGCACAGCCTACTTCCCACTCTACTTGAAATGTCCTTCTGCTCAGTTGTTCCCCTCACCTATGGCTTAGATCAATGAGCATCTTCTCCATGAGGCCATCTCCAATCCACCTGAGAATTCCACTGTATAACTTATATCATCAATATCTCTCAAACCTTAGTCCCAATTCATCATCAGACAGCTGCAACTCGTCAAACATCCCTCCACCAAGGGGGCCTGAGGGATATCTGCCTGTAGTGTTTCTTTTTTTTTTTTCTTTTTTTTTTTTTGAGACAGAGTCTCTCGCTCTGTTGCCCAGGCTAGAGTACAGTGGCGAGATCCTGCAGCTTCAAATTCCCAGGCTCAACAATCCTCCTGCTTGGCCTCCCAAGTAGCTGGCACCACAAATGCACACCACCAGGCCTGGCTAATTTTTTTATTTTTTGTAGAGACAAGGTCTCCCTGTGTTGCCCAGGCTTTTCTTGAACTTCTGGGCTCAAGCAATCCTCCTGCCTTGGCCTCCCAAAGTGCTGGAACTGCAGATGTGAGCCACCATGCCCAGTTTCAGAGGGCTTTTTCTAAAATAGAAATCAAATGTCCTTCTTCCTTCTGTTCTCAGTCTTTAGGATGAAGTCTATGTTCATTACATAGCTTACAACAGCTGAAAGCATTCTCTCCTGCTGCAGCCAACCCTCAGCTGATCTCTTCACACCCCTCTGCTCCCAGTTGGTCCTCTTGGTTCTTCCCAGTTTCTCCACCCACCCCTTCCATCACCAGACAAGCTCCATTAATCCTCCAAATCCTTCTCCCCAAGAGAGCTGCCTGTCCCCTCCTGTGGGCACCACAGAGCCTTGGACATCCCTGTGCTTCCTGTGTACTGTATTGAAGTGTCTTGTCATCTCTGTCCACCCCACATTGCACCCCAGTGCCCAGGGAAGTGCAGGGGCATGTGGACTCTCACTACACATGTGTTCCATGGACAAGTGAACAAAATGAACATCGGCACTGAGTCCATACTGAATAAACGTTTATGGAAAAAGAGGAAGATGGAAAAAGGAGAAAAGAAAGGAAGGAAAACAATCCATCTCTATATCCTAGTGTCTAGAGTAAGATCAGATACTGCTAAGTTTGTGCAGTGAATGAATGAATTAGTGATGGAACAATAAATGAGTGAATGAACGAGTAAATGACTGGTCTTGCAGAACCTGGCCTGATGCCTGGCTGGTGTGTAGTGAATACAGATCCCCAGTCCCATGTGTGTTTCAGCATTCAGAGCTTTTCAGACTGTAGGTAGATAATGCAGCACCTATGCTGCGTGTTATGACACAGGCTCAGGGTGGGGGAAACACCCCAACACCCACATTAATGCATCCACAGAGAAACATCGGAATAGTGGGATAAATAAAATGAATAAATGTGTGGGAACAAAAATGACTGATAGCCACAAATCAGTCAAGGTCTGGTTCGGCTGCTGGGTGGGTTACAAAAAGCCTCTGGGTTTTTGGAGCTCTTCCAGGTCGGGGATTGTGGATTGGGTTTGTGGGACTATTTATATAGTTTCGACCTGTGTCCCCCACCAAATCTCATGTTGAATTGTAATCTCTAATGTTGGAGGTGGGGCCTGATGGGAGGTGATTGGATCGTAGGGGCAGTTTCTCATGAATGGTTAGCACCACCCCTTTGGTGCTGTTCTCATGATAGAGTTCTCACGAGATTTGGTTGTTTAAAAGTGTGTGGCACCTCCTCCCTCTCTCTCTTCCTCCTGCTCTGGCCATGTAAGACATGACTTCTTCCCCTGCACCTTCCACCATGATTGTAAGTTTCCTGAGGCCTCCCGAGAAGCTGAGCAGATGCCAGCATCAAGCTTCCTGTACAGCCTGCAGCATCATGAGCCAATTAAGCCCCTTTTCTTTATAAATTACCCAGTCTCAGGTATTTCTTAATAGCAGTGCAAGAGTGGACTAATACACCTATGCTTAGTAAAGGTCTATTGAATGACTGAGTGAGTGAGGAGTGTCTGTGCCCTTGGCTTCTCCTGCTGAGTGTGACCTAGGGCTATCTGTTAAGTGCATGTGTCTCTGGAGTACTGCAGCCTCCCAAGCTACTCACCAGGATGTTTTGTATCAGATGGAGGGCAAGGGACTTGTTGGAGCCACTGAGGATCTCAGGAGCCTCCTTCTGTGGAGAGAAGCGTGCCCTCTGTAAGCCATCTGGTCATGAGAAGGTAAACCCATCTCCCCAAGGGCCTGGGCAGCTGACTTTCACAGGGGAAGTTGGATAAGGAGCCCTCAAGCCCAAGCAGCCACATGTGGAAGTGGCCTCAGTGTGCTTGTCAGATAGTTAATTTCTTCTCACTTTTGATAAAAGGCAGCTGTTCCTTGTCATTCCACCTGCAGCCTTGTGGGGCCCAAGTGGCCACCTTGTGGGAAGGCTCCCATTATGGGCTTAATTGTGGCCCCCTCAAAATTTACACGTTGAAGCCTTAACCCCCTGCAATTCAGAATGTGACTATTTGGAGTTAGTACTTTTAAAGGGGTGATTATGTTAAAATGTGGCTGTTAGAGTGGGTCCTAATCCAATCTGGCTGATGTCCTTATGAGAAAAGAAAGTTTACACACACAAAGCGGTATCAGCACCTTGACCTCGGACTTCCAGTCCCTAGAACTGTGAGAACATGAATGTCTGTGGTGTAAGCCTCCCAGTCTATGGTATTTTATTATGGCAGCACTGACTGCCTGAGAGGCCCCAACTTGGCTTTGACACCAAGTTCAAAGAGAAGCCAGAAAATTTCCAAACTGGTGTTTGTTGTTCTCCTTCTAAAGACCTTTGTGGGTGGGGCCACAAAGAAGAGAAGCCACAGTGGGAGGTCAGGCAGTGGCTGAAAACACAGGCTCCCTGAGCTGCCCTCAACAGCTGAGAACTTGGCAAGGGACTCAACTCTTCCTGCCTCAGGCTCCTCATCTGTAAGATGGAGTTTGCAACAAGTACCTCCCGCGAGGGTGGTGATGAGAACTGAGCGAGTTGATATTTGTAAAGCTCTTACAATGGTACTTGGTATGTAGT
The DNA here is from genome assembly GCF_000001405.40 of Homo sapiens. Lineage (NCBI taxonomy): Eukaryota > Metazoa > Chordata > Mammalia > Primates > Hominidae > Homo > Homo sapiens. The sequence goes on from NW_003315945.1 coordinate 81,230, forward strand.
AAGTGCTTCCTGTGATTATTTGTTAAATTACCACTTTCTGGCAAAATTACCGCTTTAAAATGTGAGGCAGCAGAAACGCTATCCACTTGACAAATGAATTTTCTTGGTATGTTTTCTGCTGAAAATCTTGGGGTAATGATTCACTAGGGCTGATACCTAAATGAATACTAGGGCAGTACCTGCCTCCTGGAATCTCAGGGAATCCTCAGAGTCATTTAAATTATCCACAAGCATATTTTAACTACTAAAAACCTTATCTGTACATTAAGGAGCTGGGATTTGTTTCTTGGGGATTTCCTGTGGCCTCTAACAGCTAGCAAGGGGTTTAACTGCAAATTCACATGGAATTTCAGCACCCACACAGGCTTTTGAACTCTGCAAATTCTGTCACTTGAATAACTCCAATATCTAGCATTTACTGAGCACTGACTATATGCCAGGCTGTTTGATGTATACCTGTGAGGCAGGTGCTAAGATTAGCCCTATTTCACAGATGAAGGAATGGAAGCTCAGAGAGGGTGGGCAACTCCCCTAATATCACACAGCAGGTAAACAGAGAACTCGATATTTAAAGGGAGAGCCTAGGCTGGGTACCAGCCCATGCCTGTAATTCCAGCACTTTGGGAGGCCAAAGCAGGTGGATCACTTGAGGTCAGGAGTTGGAAACCAGCCTGGCCAACATGGTGAAACACTGTCTCCACTAAAAATACAAAAAAAAATTAGCTGGGCATGGTGGTGGGTGCCTGTAATCCCAGCTACTGGATAGGCTGAGACAGGAGAATCACTTGGACCCAGGAGGTGGAGGTTGCAGCGAGCCAAGATCCACCACTGCACTCCAGCCTCAGCAACAGAGAGAGACTCTGACTCAAAAATTAAATTAGATTAAATTAAATTAAAAAGGCAGAGCCTAAATGCATAAAAATTATACACCCCTGTCTCCTTACTAGCCAGGAGATGTTAGAAAGCCACTTTAGCTGCTCTGAGCCTCAGTTTCTTTAAAATAGGGAAAATCATGCCTGTTTTCAAGTTGTTGCTTGGACAGCCTGTGCTTGGCACTGGAAGGCACTGGGGAACTGGTTACAGTAGTTACAGTGGTGATTGTCATCACTAGCACCTGCCTTCTTCTTTCTAACACACACCCAGAAATCACTGAAAGGACTTACTTAAGCCATGAACTGCGATTCAGTGGCCTCGTCTGCAACATGAGGACAAAAATCCCTAGTCCCACTTCAAAACATTGCCCTGGAGGTCAAATTAATAATGGCAGAACATGCTTTCACAACTCAATGAACTTGAGACTGGTTCTAGACAGCCAACAACTAGCTTTGTAATTTGACAAACCTCTTTATTTCTTAACCCTATTTCCTCCAGCTTAAAATAAGGAGGCCAATCTATATAAATGAGCTTCAACAGTATTAGGAATTTGAAGTCTCCACTCCTCTGAGGACAGATGAAAAGTTTATTTCCAATGAAGAGAGTCTTCCTATGCCACGGAATCAAAAAATCATGGGTCTTTCCCAGCACCTGGGCCTCAGCTCAACAATCACTCCCTAGAAGAGCGTTTCCTGACCACCTGTTATCCTCCCTAAAGATACCTTCTCTCCTCACTTGTGTCCTTCATATATCTATCACTCTCTGAAATCATCTTCTCAATCTCGTGTCTTATCTGTCTCTCCCCACCAGAGTGTAAGCTCCCAGAAAGCTCATATGCTCAGTTTTTGTAAGCCTCTAATAAATGCTCAGTACATACTTGTTGAAAAAATAAAATGATTTAACAATTTTGCAGCTTATGCAACCTTAGCATTCAGGGATGTCAAAATGCCAGAACCAAGGCTGGATGTGAAAAATTTGAAGGACTGAAGTTTTTCAAACCTATCTGAATGTCAGCTCTGAAGTGGTAACTGCATTTTTTGGAAACAATCATTTATAATACTGTTTGAACAAAGACCAAATGGACCGATCCCCTCTTTCCTTTTTATACAGTTGTTTCTTCCACCCTAAACCTCATTACATGAGAAGCAAGGCAGACACTTGCTGTGACTGTCCCGGTCCTCACTTGCCCTCTTTCAGAGAGAGTAAAGGTGATCACTGTGTGCTTGGCTGGTGGGCTCCAGCACTTACAATACCTGATGTCTTCTGTGGAAATGCCCAGCTGTTGAAGCCAAAGCTGCATCACGGTTTGAGGGAGTGGCAGTATGGACAGCCAGAATTCTTACCATAGGCAGCAGGAAGCCACACTCGTGGTTATTGACTCCGATGATGGAAGGAATTGCTTTAAATGCTTTCTGAGACAATAGATCTAGAGGCTCATTAGGAAAGAAAGCACCATCAACCACTCGAGTGAAAGACTTTGTTTTCTGTAATAAGGAAGAAAAAAAAATCATCAGCTATCATCAGCTATTTCTGTTCACAAAATCTGCTGTCCCAAATCCTGGCCAAGAAAAGCCAACCCAGTCTAGCACTGGCTTAAATGCACTTAAAAAGTAAAAACAAACACTATGGGCCCAGCTCAATATATCAGTCCCTGGAAGCTCTGCCATGTACTTGGGTGAGGGGGCTAAACTTGTCTGTGCCTTATTTTCTCATCTGCTAAATGGGAATAATAATAATATCTACCAAGAAAAACAGTGGCCTGTTATATGGTTTGGCTGTGTCCCCACCCAAATCTCAAATTATAGCTCCCATAATTCCCACATGTTGTGGCAGGGACCTGGTGAGAGGTAATTGAATCATGGGGGCAGGTCTTTCCCATGCTATTTGCATGATAGTGAATAAATCTCATGAGATCTGATGGTTTTATAAAGGGGAGCTCCCCTGAACAAGCTTTTTTTTTGCCCACCACCATGTAAGATGTGCCTTTGCTCTTCCTTCACCCTCTACCATGATTGTGAGACCTCCCCAGCCATGTGGAACTGTGAGTTTATTAAACCTCTTTCCTTTATAAATTACCCAGTCTCAGGTATGTCTTTATTAGCAGCATGAGAAGAGACTAATATAGCCTAGCCCAGAGATTCTCAAAGTGTGGTTCCTAGACCAGCAGCATCAGCATCATCTGGGAACTTGTTATAAATGCACATTCCAGGCCCACTTCAGGCTCCTCAATAAGAAACTCTGGGGTTGGGGTGTAGCCCAGGAACCTTCTTGTAGCTGGTCCTCCAGGTGATCCTGATGCATGTTTAAGTTTGAGAACCACTGGCCAAATGCAAAGGGAAAAATGGTGGTAGATGAAGTGGTCAGGACTGTAGGGGTTGTAGGAGACTGTAGGTGTCTCCCTGAGACACAGTGCCTTGGACATGCCTGGATATTTTTTGGGTCTCAGAAAGCAACACTCAGCCCTAGTCATGGTTTCTTTAGGTTTCTGTTTTGAGATTTGGGTAGAAAGGAGCACATGGAAGAGTTCGACACATCAGGTCCAGGACTTATTATCCATTTCACTGAGTCTAGCATGGCTCAGAGTGGACATTCAGTACACACCACATAACTAGCAAATATTGAAATCTGAAAGATAATGATCTTGTCCATTCAAAGACTGTCATCAAAGGCTCTCAAGATTGGAAGGGACATAAAAGATCACCCGGTCCAATTAACTGTCACTGATTGAAAGTTTGTCAGCAGTCAGCTAGATTTTGCTTGAATACCTGGAGAGGTGGGCATCTCACTACCTTCTAAAGGAGCCCAGTCCTTTTCCAGACAACTGAGGTCTTGGAAGGTTTTCAGTTACACAAAACTAAAATGACTTCCTAATAGAACTTCCAGCTCCTGATTTTGACTTCAGCTTCTGGAAGCATGCATAACAAGTGTGGTCCTTCTCTCCAGTGAGATGCTTTCAGGGACTTAGAGACAAGCCTTGTACTTTGCTGAATCTTCTCCAGGCTAAGTTGAACCCCTGCCCCAACAATTTTCTTAAATTACCTACAAGGGTTCTATATCCCTACTTATTTTTTTACAGCTGTTACCAAGTACCTCAATCCTCCTCTTTTCTATGTTCCAAATTCAAATAAATAGCAGAGGGGTAGGATTTGTTCATCTCTCCGTTCGAAGGGCAAGCCTGCCCCCAAAACTGCCCCCTCTGTCCTCACCTGGCTGAGGGTCAGCAGCTCCTTGGAGGGTTTTGTCCTCAGGCACCTCAGCAGGGCCTCAGAGTCTGACGCATTGTTACCACAGAAATGTGCAACCACCTGCAGCTATTTTGTAGAGAAGGACCGGGTTAGAGCATGATATTGAAAGCATCTAGGAAAATGAAAGCTTGAAAATGCCCTCCAATCAGCCACAGGCTGGCCCTCCATATATGAGTCCATCCTGCTAACACTGCCTAGACCCACACCCCTATAATTGAAGGTGCACATGGTGGACAGTTTCCCACTGCATCACCCTCAGTCTCTTGCCTGGCTCTCCTTGTCATCTTTAGTAAACACCACAGCTGGAGATGGGAGTTTGTCAGTCTGTGGCTGTGGAATGGAATCAAGATTCCTGGTCACAAAGAGATCAGTCCTGTGAGCTTGGCTGCATTGGTATTTTGCTCCTCTGGAGTCTAGAAGCCCAACCTTGAGGTGCTGAATGAAGACAAACACCAAGAGCGAGGAGCAGCTTTGGAAGCTCCTTCATTGTCAGTACAGGCAGGACTCCAGATCAGATTCTCAGCTTGTCAGCCCTGCCCAAGCACCAGGCCCACTCACAGCCTGGAATGTCCTACCTGTCTTTTTCCCTGCCTCTATACCAATCCTTTTCATTCTTTAAGGCCCAACTCCTTCCCTCCACGATGTCCTTTCAGGGCATTGCAGCCCCCAGAAACCCCTTCCTCATCTAATCTCCTATAAGCTCGATGTTCCCCACCTTCCATGCCTGGCCCATTGCTGAACATCTGCTTTCCTTGTCACTGAACCTCCATATTTGTAGAACTCACTCCCTGAAAGTGGTGGTTCTTAATCTTCTGGGAGTCATGGATACTCTGAGAATCCAGTCAAAGTTACAGACCCTCTCCCTGGGAAAACGTGCAAGCATGTGGAGTCTGGTACAATTGTGGAACCGCTTCCCAAACCTATCCATGGATTCCAGGATTTAATCCTATCCATGGATAGGTGATAAAAAGATTATATTGCCCTCAAATTTAGGATGTGCTTTCTCCACTGATAAATCCCAAAGTTCTAACAGAGCAGGGAAAATAGTGGGCACTCAGTGATGTGTGTCAAATGAATAAATATATGCCCAAACTGAAAATAGCTTTATGGAGAATGTTACCAAAATCAATATTTCTGTGTATTGAGGGAATTTTTTAAAATTGCATAACTCTATGTTTCTGCTCTTGGTATATACTGTTATTTTCTGTAAGATGTTTAAGAAAATTTACCACAAAAATGATTAATACTCAAGAGATGGCTGCACAGCCCAGTGCTTAATTAATATGCATTGAATGAAACAGCTCATTCATTAACTCATTCATCCGGAACATTTATGGCTGCCTGATATATACCAGGTATTATGCTGGGGGCCTGAAGGACAGAGAGATCCTGGTCTCTAGGGCATCACTATCTAGTAGATAATTAAGACAAGAGACAGATGACAAATATCGTGGGATAGATGCCCCTTATAATCCCATGCCAGACAACATGAATCAGTCACAGCATTATTTCCCACTGAGCTGGAAACAGCCTCTGAATCTTTCTTAACATAATGCCCTGGGTATTCATTCCCAGTAGAGTAGCGTAGGCACAGAAGAACTGTATAGAATACAGGGGACTGACTTATCTATCACAAGCAAAGAATAACGGGTAAGACATAAGAACCATAACGCACATACACACACACTTGTGCACACCAGTGGTGTGGCATTGTGTAGCTAGACCCATTTCCTGTTGAACCAGACCTTTCACGGAGGAACAAGGTTCACCTTGGGCCAGCATGAGGTGCCTTGGGCATGGTCACTAAGGAAAGCCAAACACATGGTGAGAAGGTGCCTGACCACATTCTCTGCTAACTGAGGAGAGGAAGGTGGCAAGGTGTTAACAGTATACGTACGTCCTCACTCTTCTCATAATCATGGGCCTCCAGGTAAGGGATGATGGCCACCCCACTCTCCATGATGGCTTTGTGGAATAAGCCTTTGGCCATGGGAGACAGTATCTGGAGAGAGAACACAGAAGACCCAGGAAAGGTTACTCCCCACCAACACACATACCATTCATCCCTCTTCAAAGAAACCTTCCCAGGAAGCCTCCTTAAAAGCTCTAAGCTTAGAGGGGAAAAAAGCCCTGGTTTAGGGGTTAAAGGACTAGCTATGAAGGTTTGGGCAAGTTACTCAACCTCTCTGAGCCCCTGGTTCTTCATGGACTTTGATGTCAAATGTTCAGGCATGTGATTTCTAGCTCCTTCACTTTCTACCTAGGTAACCTCGGACAAGTTGCTTAATATTTTTTTATTTCTTTTTATTTCTTTTTTTTTTTTTGAGATGGAGACTCGCTCTGTGGCCAGGCTGGAGTGCACTGGCGTGATCTCACCTCACTGCAACCTCCGACTCCCAGGTTCAAGTGATTCTCCTGCCTCAGCCTCCAGAGTAGCTGAGATTACAGGTGCGCACCACCACGCCCAGCTAATTTTTGTATTTTTAGCAGAGACGGGATTTCACCATGTTGGCCAGGATAGTCTCAATCTCCTGACCACTCACCTCAGCCTCCCAAAGTGCTGGGATGACAGGCGTGAGCCACCGCACCCAGCCAAGTTGCTTAATATTTCTAAGTATCGGTTCACTCCCCTGTAAAACTGGAGTAAAAATTGAGCCCGTATCACAAAACTGTTGTGAGGAGCAGGGGAGGTAATAAACATAGAACTCTTCACAGAGGTTCTGGTCAAATTTTGCTCATGAAATAATGGTTGTTATAATATATGAAAAGTTAGGTTAATATAATCCACCTTAGAAGGTAATTTTGAAGATGTAAAAAGACCACATATATTGTCAAGTGCTATTCAGCAGAAGCTCTCTTAACTCACCACCATGTTACTGATTTCTGCAATTAACCTGCCAACTGATGCCAAGGAAATGCTGACCATTCTGAGCCAGTGGACCATTTTCTAACACCTCTGTACATTTCTCTTCTCACCAGTTTCTTGCCAAGAATCAGGTGTGTTTGCTTCCAAACCTGTTTTGTCAATTTCACTTGTTATTGTAATTACACAATCAATGAAATATCATGAGAACAAATGAACTGTATGTGTACAAAGAAAATCAAATTATGTCTGGAAAAAAAATTCTTGATAAAGGATGGCTAAAAAAATATTGCTGTCAGGCCAGGCATAGTGGCTCACGCCTGTAATCCCAGCACTTTGGGAAGCCAAAGCAAGAGGATCACTTGAGCCCAGAAGTTCAAGACCATCCTGGGCAATATAGCTAGACCCCATCTCTAAAAAAATTTTAAAAAATAAAAAAAAAGAATTAGCTGGGCATGGTGGCGCATGCCTGTAGTCCTAGCTCCTTGGGAGGCTAAGGCAGGATGATTGCCTATGACCAGGAGTTTGGGCTGCAATGAACTATGATCGCCCCACTGCTTGCCAGCCTGGGCAACAGAGTGAGAACTTGTCTCAAAAAAAATATTGCTGTCACCGGACACGGTGGCTCACGCCTGTAATCCCAGCACTTTGGGAACCCAAGGTGGGCGGATCACCTGAAGTCGGGAGTTTGAGACCAGCCTGACCAACATGGAGAAACCCCATCTCTACTAAAAATACAAAATTAGCTGGGCATGGTGGCACATGCCTGTAATCCCAGCTACTCAGGAGGCTGAGGCAAGAGAATTGGTTGAACCCAGGAGGCGGAGGTTCTGGTGAGCCTAGATTGCACCATTGCACTCCAGCCTGGGCAACAAAAGCGAAACTCCATCTCAAAACAAAACAAAACAAAAAAACCATATATGTGTGTGTATGTATATATATAAAATACACTATACAAATATATAGATATAGATATAGATATATAGATAAACATCTCTCTATTTATATTGCTGTCAAATTGTGTGTGGACAAGAAAGGAGTAAAATATTTGCAGGAAAAGTATACAAATCCCAAATGCGCTAAAGTCAGACTGCTTTGCAGGCATCTTTAAGTTTGCGCCCACTGTAAAGAAACTGAAACTGCAATTTGAGGACAGTGAATTTTGCAGGTGGTTTATGCAAGACAATCCATGTTGGAAATCGAGTCAGCAGACCAACTCTGCAAACATAAGGCCCTGTATCAAACTGTTGGTGAGGGAATATACATTTTATGGTTTAAATTAAAATAAAATATTTACATGTATCTTTTGGCATTTCATGTCTTAGCTGAGTTTCCTATTAAACAAGTGATTACCATTCTGGCAATTGAATACTAGGGTTTCTCCTCTACAAATATAAGGGATTTTTCCTCAAATTATTACTCACTATGTGACCTTAGGTGATTTATTTAAACTTTCCCAGTGACAGCTGTCCTGTATGTGAAATGAGACTGAGCCCCTAACTCATAATGTGTTGTGAGGCTTGAAAAAGACAATGTGTATTAAAGGGTTTGTTCAACATGAAGGCAACAATCAAATGTTAGTGACTCATCATCATTTTTGGAACCTCCGGCACTGAGATTCATTCAAACCACAAAGCAGAGAACTCACAAGACTAGAAACACTTATGGCTCCCGCGGACTCGCCAAAGATGGTCACAGAGCTGGGGTCCCCACCGAAGAACTCGATGTTCTTCTGGACCCAGGACAGAGCAGCCACCTGGTCCTTGAAGGCCCAGTTCCCCGGAGCATGCTGATCCCATGTGCTGAGGACAAGAGGCAGGGTGAGAATTCTTGGTCAGCCATGGTGTGTTTCCCACAGCCCTGGAAGTTCTCAGCAGAGGCTGTGGGCAGGGGTCAGTGGGGATGGGGCGGAGAGTCAGAGGCCTGGAGGAGCTGGGGAAACCGGACTCAGTTCTCACACTTTGCTGAGATTTGGATTTCTTTGAGAATTTGATGAAAGCTATGCACCTAAGAAAAATGCACATTCAATATTGTAGCTGCAATTTCAAGTATTCACAGGTTCCTCAGAATCCATGAATCCCAATCCATAAATCCTGTGTTGCCCAGGCTTGTCTGGAATCCATGAATCCATTCCTGAGAGTTGATCTGTACTAGAAAGCAAGAAGTTTCCTGAGCACAGAATTTTCCATGAAACTAAATTAATAGTAGTCACAATAACAATTAACAGGCCAGGCACGGTGGCTCATGCCTGTAATCCCAGCACTTTGGGAGGCCGAGGCGGGCAGATCATGATGTCAGGAGATCGAGACCATCCTGACTAATATGGTGAAACTCCGTCTCTGCTAAAAAAAAAAAAAAAAAAAAAAAAAAAAAAAAAAAAAAAAAAAAAAAAAAATTAGCTGGACACGGTGGCAGGCGCCTGTAGTCCCAGTTATTCGGGAGGCTGAGGCAGGAGAATGGCTTGACCCCAGGAGGCGGAGCTTGCAGTGAGCTGAGATCATGCCACTGCACTCCAGCCTGGGCAATAGAGTGAGGCTCTGTCTCAAAAAAAATAAAAATAAAAAAATAAACAAACAAACAAAAAACAATAACAGCAGCTGCAGCATGTACCAGACACTGTTCTAAGGGCTTTAAGGCTAATACTCCTACAACCCTCACACCTATGAGGTAGGTGGTGCTGGGTTTTCTCCCTTTGCTTTTTTGGGTCTTCTCCACCCTTCTCTGCTCTGCCCCTCAAAAGCTGACCTCTAGGAATGACATCACCCAGGCCTCAGCTGTGTGCCATGAGGGTGGGCTAGAGAGAGACTGCGATGTTTATCCCCCAACCCCGTGCTCCCTCTCTGCTGGGAAGTGTTTGGGCAGAGGCTGCTTTTCTCCACAGCAGCAGCTCATGCCAGCTCCCTTCCACTAAACCTGTGAGCCTGCTGTCAGGAAACCAACGGATACATCAACTCTTTAATTCAGGCACAGAGAGGCTAAACCCCCTTGCCCAAGAGCTAGAAAGCTGCAGTTTTGGGATCCCACACCCCCATGCTGCTGCCCCTGCACAATTGCATGTTTCCCGGGATGGGATTAATGGGAGAACAAATGAAACAAGTGGAAATGCCATAGAACCAAAGAAATGTCTAGACCGAAAGCATGCATGCAGTGCACGTCACCCTGGGGCACATTCTACTCCCCTCCATTTTCCAGTTCTCCAGACTGCTCCTTCCCCTGGGTCCCCTCCACTGTCTATGACCACTGAGCTGGCTCTCACTCCACCTTCTCTCTCCCAGGCCCCTGCTCAAGAGTCAAGCCCTGCCAATTTTACCTCCATTCTACTGTGGCTCCCACCCTGGTCCCCGTTTCTCCATCTCTGTTTATCCTGAGAAGCATTATACCTTAGTGGTTACTATCTCAGCCTCGAGGACAGGATTCACAGCCTGGCCACTTATTATCTGGGTGACCTTGGGCAAATCACTTAACCTGCTTTGCCTCAATGCTTCTCATGTCTAAAATGGGGATAATGATAGTGCCCACTCCACATGGTTGTGAAGATTGACAGTGCCAGGCAGAAAATAAGCATGTCATATTCACGTTATATACATGTTAGCTATTGCTTTTGTGGTTGAATGACCCCATGGCCTGCATCAAGACAGTGCCTCCCAGTGGGGCTCCCTATCTGCAGCTGGGCACCCCTGGCTCAGCCTCCACTCTGCTCCAGAGTGAGGTTCCTGGTACACTACTCTGTGAAAGGTACTCCTGGTCCTCAATCTGTGTTGGATAAAGCCAAAACTCCATGTATGGCCTGGCATTCAAGGCCTTTCCCTATCAGGCCTGTCCTTGCCTTCCCGCATCCATCTCCTGCTGTAGCTTCATCTACCTATGATCAAAACCAGATACGATAAGCAATTATTGAAAGCTCTTCTACCAAAGGAATCTTATGCAGAATCCTAATATATAGAGCAGCTAGAAGTGTAATTACTCTGGTCAGGGCACCCCGTCAGCCTCTCCTGCCTGCAAAGCACTCCCAGAGCTACATTCCAGGGCTACAGGCCCAGTGCAGTCTGCAAAAGTATTGCTTCATCCCCATGTGTTGCTACCTCCCTCCCAACTTCCTAGTTTTTGCACAGGTAGCACCCTTTGCCAAGCACATGTTCTCTGAACCCCTTCTCCTCAAGCCCAACCACATCCTTCTGGTGCAACTCCAATGTCACCCCTCTCTGAAGCCTCCCTGATCCCTTGCAACTCCCTCCTCTGTTTCCACAGCTCCATGGCCTCTCACTCTTGGAGAATTAACCATGTCCTTCTTGGTAATGTGGATATTTTTGTCCCTGCATTATCTCTCCCATAGTCAGGAGCCTCTGTAAGGCAGGATTCATATTTGAATCATTGCTGCCTTTACCATAGTATGTGACAGTGACCCGCAAGCATAATCCTGGCCCCACCTCTCACTTCTCCTCTTTGTTTACATTGGACCCTCATCAGGACTTCTCCTGCCATGTCTTAGACAGGATAATAGAAGCAGTCAAGAGACCTAGCTCTGTTTTGTGACCCCTGGGAAGTTGTTTGGCCTCTCTGGGCCTCCATTTTCCAGCTGTGAAATGAGAATAACAACAGAGAACCTTCCTTGAAGGATTATTTTGAGGGTGAGTTGAAATAATGCATGGCAAGTGCACAGCCCCATGGCTGGTTCAGTGAAAGCCCAGTACATGTTAGGCGTGATTGGAGGAGGGAAGCCACTGTGATAGAGTGATGATTCTCAGGTGAGCGTTCGAGAAGCCCTGGGGTGAGGCTCAGGTAGACACCACCGACTGCTCACACAAACAGTGTCCTGTTCTTCCAGGGCACACAGTGGGGCTACATGGCCCCAGCTCGCTTGCAGCTGGATGTGGCCATGTGACTGAGTTCTGCCAATGGCGAGTGAACAGAAGTGACAAGTGCCACCTGCAGGCTGGGCCAGGAGACCCTCCATTGCATGATCCTCCATGCTGTCTCGGTCCACCCACCAAATGCAGAAGATCGAGGCCCTAAAGAATCCACATCAGAGCTCAAGATGTGATGAGCCAGATCCCTGGTTGACCATGAGGAAGAATGTCTGCCGATCAGGGATGCTCAATTAAATTTTACCCAAGTGAAAAAGAGATTTTTATTGTTTCAAGCCACCAACATTTTGGGATTTATCTGCTACAGCTGCAAAAATTACCTAAGTAATTAGGGCCAGTTTTGTTCATTGTCCCGGAAGGCTCGCTCCTTCTTAGGTTGCTGGGCACTGTCTATGGCTACTGCACTGCTGCCCTTTGGGGATCTGGGATGTCCATCATTTGGAGAGACTCACGTGAAGAAACCAAATATTCCTAGCCGGTACTGGACGACCACAACCAGCACGTCCTCATAGGCAGCCAGGGCGGACCCATCAAAGATGGAGGCTGAGCCAGTCTTGAAGGCACCTCCTGGGAACCACACCAAGACCTGAGGAGGGGAGAAGAGCATCCAGTCAGCCCACCAGGCACCACCTCCCCTCCCCATGCAGTTTGAGGCACACGTTCTTAAGGTGAAATATAAATGTCCCACTTGCTAAGCAGGGTGCGAGGTTTTGTCATTTGAAGAAGGCCCAGGGTTAAGCATGTGGGCTCTGGCACCTGAGTGCCTCGATTTGACTCCCAGCTCTGCCACTGACTAGCTGTGTGACCTTGGAAAGATTACTTAGCCTAAGGCTCATTTTTCTCATCTGTAAAATGTGAAGAAGGAAAGTATCTCACTTATGAAGTTATCATGAGGTTTAAACAAAATTCTGCATCTAAAGCTCATAGAACAATGAGCAATAGCACATTTCAAGTTTCAAGTGCTCAGAAATTGTTCACTAAATACCAGTGAGCCTGTGACCCACGGGAAGATGGAAACCATTGTAAGCCATGTATAAGAGCAAAAGCAGCCCAAGGTGTTTCAGAGAAAAGCTCTCTACCTTCAGAAAGAAGAGAGGAGGGGAGGGGAGAAAAGAGGAATGGAGGAGGTGAGAGGAGGAGGGGGAAGAAAAAGAGGAGAAGGAGAAGAAGAAAGAGGAAGAGGAAGGGAGAAGGAGGAAGGAGGAAGAGGAGGAGGAGAAAGGATGAAAAATGAAGAAAGAAGGAAGAGAAAGAGGAAGGGTCAGGCACAGTGGCTCACGCCTGTAATCCCAACACTTTTGGGAGGTTGACGTGGGTGGATTGCCTGAGCTCAGGAGTTCAAGACCACCCTGGGCAATATGGTGAAAGCCTGTCTCTACTAAACAAAAAATTAGCCAGGTATGGTGGCAGGCACCTGTAATCCCAGCTACTTGGGAGGCTGAGGCACAGGAATCCCTTGAGCCCGGATGGCAAAGGTCGCAGTGAGCCAAGTTTGCACAACTGCACTCCAGCCTGGGCAACAGAGCAAGACTCTGTCCCAAAAAAAAGAGGGAAGAGTAAAATTTTTATTGATTAGAAAAATTGGGATCAGGGAACATAAAACATTCAAATGGCATTATCTCTATTTATATATTTAATAACAAATCCCTTCCATTCTCTTTCTTAAGGTCATATTAGAGATTACAGCCTTCGGGGCAGGTAAAGAGAAGAAAGCCACTGAGGAAAGGGGAGGTGGACAAACCTCTGGCTTTGGTGCCAGAATCTAGTGCCTACTGTGTGTACAACATGGAGCAAGTCACTTATGCCCTTCCTGTGCCTCGTCTTCTCCATCTGTGGAATGGGTCCAAATCGTCCTTACCCACTGGGTTAGCATGGGAGTTAAATCAGATCATGTACTGTGCCTGGCACACAGCAAGCATTTAATAGACATTACTGTTATGATACAAGACAGCCAGTTTCCCCTGGCAGAGGCATGAGGAAGAGAAGAGGATGAGAGGGTGTGGCTAAAACATAGAACATGCCTTTCCCCCACTTACTGACACGGGGATATTTTATATTCTTAAATGAAACACTTAACATGATTACCTGACTGTCTTCATTATAAACAGAAAAGTTGGAGGATAAAATTATTCTTTTTGAAAAAAGATACCTCAAATTTAAGAAAAAAGTCAGATTCCTTTTAAGCAGTGTCTTTTCTGAAAGCTTACAGGTCACTAAATACGCAACAGAGGGGAAAACAAAACAAAATAAAAATTAAAAGTTAAGGCACTGCCAATAAAGAATCAATCAGAAAAACTGATCATGTGAATCTATCATTCGAATGATTTTTAAAAATTGTTGATGTGATTACATTTCCCTTTTACCCAACAGGGGGTAGTTCCAATTCCAGACATGTAGCTGCACTGCCTGGATCCCAGGCCAAGGTCCTGCTAGCTAGAGCCCGAAGCACACAGCAGGCAGCCTTACGGGGAGCTTGGAGCCTGTATCGGCGTGGGCAGGCGCATAGATGTTCAGGTAGAGGCAGTCTTCTGACACTCCGAATTTCGGGTAATGCACCTTGAGCATGTGTTGATCTAAGAGCAGCCACTCTGAGTTCTGGAGGCACCTTGGAGAAGGAGAGGAGAAAACCCTCAGAAAAAGTTATCAGCAAACTTGCCTGGGAAGGGCCAGTTCTTCTGACAGCGGGGAGGCCTGGCCGTCTCCTCTGCCTGAGCAGAAGAGGCAGCTACCGGTACAAAGTCCAATCATGCCCAAACCCCCATGGTTTCCAAAACAAACAAGCAAGCAAATTATAATTCTCATTGATCTGGTTCCTGGGTAGGAAAGCACATGGTGTAGAATAATTGCACCATTACCCCCACCACCCTCCCATGCCTACACCACCCTCCTATGCCACCACCATAATATAGACACACATAACGACCCAAGCTGGCCCAACAATTCCCCAAACTGTAGAGGGCAGGACATAGTCGAATAACAAGGGCTTTGCCCCTGCGGCTCCCTATTCTGTCCCCAGATGCGCAAAGGAACATTTCCAGGCCTCTCTACCTGGAACCACCCAGGATAGACTGGCAGGGAGACTCCTGCACCCAGGCTTTGCTCAAGCCGGGCCCTTGCCTCGACTGCTCTCTCCCTGTATCTGCGTGCTCACATTCTTCCCTTTGTTTTAGAGTCACTCCAACTTGCCACCTCCTCCCAGAAGCCTTCTGAGATTTCTCCAGTTCTACCATACCTCTTCTTCGGAAACACCCACCTACTTTGCATTCTTTTCCAGAACTTGTCCTGAGGTTGTGCGTGTGCATTATCATCATCCCCAGCTCAACTGTGAGCAGCTAAAAGCCTAAGACTCTGTTTTAGTCACCTCTGTACCTCAGAGCACCAGCACAGAGCATGATACACCGTAAGATTAAGCAAGGATGTAAATGTGAATGCTTCTACCATACTGTGTACGCAATCAATTCTTAATAGAATAGTGTGCAATATTGCTGCACGTCTTCTCCTGACAGGTGTTTATGCCTCCTTGCCCCTTTGTATGTTGTTGATCAGGCCTCAGCGCTTTCAGCAAAGCCGTCTCTGACCTCCCATCAAAGCTAGTCCAGGTGGGTCTTTGTTTCCCCTCAGCACCCTTCCCTGACACCCTAATGGTTGCCCTTGCCATCTTATATTTTAGCTGTCAATTACTGTTTACGTTCCTGCCACCATCACCCCTCTCCATGCTCCATGATGACAGCTGTGACTCAACCCCTGCGGCGTCCCCAAGCTTAATGGAGAGCCAGTTATCAAGTTGGTTCGCAATGAATATTAGTTGGATGAATGAATGAACGCACAAACAAATGAGTTTCAGCTTGATGTCCTCAGTCCTTGGACCACATGGGGTCATCTTCTGTGGCTTAGGGAATATCCTGGCACCAGAATTTCTTCTGCCAGGAACCCATGTGGCCCAACCTGAGAGCTTGACAGAATCTAAAGAGTTGGAAGATTCTAGGGGATTTTCAAGTCTCACTGCCCACCCAGTAAGTCTCACCTCACCCCTCCACAATTAACCTGGTAACTGGTTACCTAACCGAGCTTGGAAATCTGCAGTGACCAGGAGCTCCTTACCTCCCAGAGTCCCTGCGTCACAGAGACACATCCACATGTTCATTCCACGGGTATTTATGGAGTTCACCATGGACTAGGTATTGCATCAGGCACCGTTTTGACAGCTGGAGCTAACACCCTTCTAGTGTGGTTCTTCTCAATAAAACCCTCACCCAGTCTGACCATAGAGCCAGGCTTGGGTGAGAGGTCACAAGAAGATACCTAGACAGTCCCTTCTGACCAAAGGACTCAGTACGCCCATTTCAGCACTTCTAAAAAAAACTGGCTGGTGATCAGAGTCTCTAAAAAGCGTTCAGATAATAGTTTCCTGGGCTCAGCTCGGGATATTCTGATTCAGAAAGTTCAGAAGGGAGCTTGGAGAATCTGTATATTTTTAAAGATGCCTCCAGTGACCTGGCCATCAGCCAGTTTAGGAGTCAGGGGATTACTAAACCACTCGCCCGAGTCTCAAGCCCTCTCTCTCCCTCCTCCCCCATCCATGCCAATCCCTCTTCTTTCACACTGGGCTGCATGACCTGAATTCCTGCCACTCCCAGAGTCACAAACCACCCGTGGGCCCGAACCTGGTCTTACAAATTAGGGTAGGAGGTGGCTTCTCGCAAGTTATCCCAGGGCGATGCAGGCTGCGGGTTCGTAAATCGCAGGGATCCCAGCGGGGGAGCAGCAAAGGGGACTCCGAGGAACACGTTCACAGGCACAGGGCTTCCCAGCACAGTGACTTGCTTGCCCTGAATCCATCCCAGCCTGGTGTTCCTCTGTGGCCCTTCAGCAGAAGGCCCTGCGGGAACACATGGGAGGAATCAGGAGCAGGCTGGGGACAGGCAGGGCAATGGCCCACCCAGTCTGGAGCTCCCCAGTGGGGATGTGCTTCCTTCACTCAGAAGTTGTGCAGCTGGTGGTATCCAGGTTCCCTCTCCATGAATCCAGTTCCATGGCTTTTTCCAAGATTGCTGTAGAAGTCACCCCCATGAAACCACTGACTTAGTTTCTCCTAGGAGCCCAGCAGTACCTAGCAACAAAATTTTCCCCCATTCACTCAGAAACCCATCTCCCTTCTGCTGAGAGCGCTTTCTTTCTACAGGATTGACATATACCGAACTCTGTAGATCCTGGGATGCCACAAACTCATCTTCCCAGGGGTTCCTACACTTCTGTCACTCCACACCCTCCAGCACCACTGCTGGCATATCTGTGCAGCACCTGCATGATTGCTGGCTTCTTTTTTTTTTTTCTTAAAATTTAATTCCAATAAACTCCTTTTAAAATTTTACCTAGAAGAATTCCAAGTAATGACATTTATGGAATTGTGATTTTGGTGAGTTAGGTATATGCTTTTGAATACACATGAATATTCATGGGTGAAAATTTAAAATTCTCATGCAGATACTTCCTGAAATCAACTCGTCTACTTCCAGGAGCATAAAGATGGCACTTTGGGAGACTGGGCATGCAGGGGTCTCAGTCACCACACAGAACGTGGAGCCTTGGGAAGGAAACTGCCCAGCTACTTACTTAGCAAAACCCGGGTGTCTTAGCACTGTTTCTAATGTCATTTCATTACTGAAAGTCCTGTCGCCGCAGCCAGGAGTGCAGAAGCACAGGCTCTGTTCCTCACGCTTCTCCAGTGCTCAGGATGGAGCCCCTCTAAACCCCTTGCAGGGTGTGAGCAACCCAAAGGCAGAACCAGGATCTTCTGTGCGCTACCCACTCCCAAGAAGGAAGCTCTGGTCCTAGGTTCTCGGCAACAGCAGAATACTGATGCCATCAAAGTACTACATAGCTCTCCACTGGCCCTCAGAGACCTCTGAAGAATAACTTCATTTCTACCAGTGGAAAATCCTCACCCACCCCATCTTCTGAGAGCCCTCCTTTCCCATTGGATATCTCACCTTTGGTGGGGGCTGCAAGGACCCAGATAGCCCAAATTAGGATCTGGCCTGGGTGCACCCAATTCCCACTCATTTGGCTGCCTGCCTGCACTCTGTGAACATTGACGGCGGCTGCTGGCCTCAGAGAGCTTCAGTTGGGAGCCAGAAAGAGCTTCCTGTTAACAGGCAAATGCTGAATAGGCAGGCAGAGGCAGCAGAGTTACTGAAGATCAGCATCAGAACAATATTCTCAAAGGAATTGACTAAGCAAGACTTTCCTGTTCTGATTTACATAAGAAGCTGATGATTAACTATTGAGCTGGGGAAAGATAATTTGATAGGCTTTGGACTTCCGGGATGGGGGAAACAGAAAAGACATTCCAGACCAGGCAAGACATTTTAAGATTATGAGTTCTAGAGACCCAAGGATGAATGAGGTTTCCAGACCTGCCTGTGATGCCAGAAAGACACAGTGCAGGTCAGAGAAGCTGAGAAGTTTCTGAGAAGAGGAAGAAGGTTGCTGCTGGGACAAGCGAGTGGCTCTGAAGGCACAAGCACTGCCAGCTCAGACAAGCAGCCCGGCTGGCCCTGCCAACAAGAGTCTTCAATGGCCATTTGGTCTACAGCCTCCTTGGCAACCTTGAGGCTTCTTCGATTATATTATTTCCCCTCTGGCCCTTCATAGTTGCCACCGAAAAGATTCTCCCTGGCCTTCAAATCTGTCCCTTCATCTGACCAGAAATATTATCAAGTCTGTACACCACTGCTCACCCAACTGTTTTAAAGCACTTCACACAAACTAGCTTGTTGCCAACACCACCACCCCCATTTTGGATGTCTTTCTTCTCCAGCTTCTTCTTTAAAATCCAATTTAACTGCCACCTCTTCCGAGAACCTTCCCCTGATTCTCCTGAACTTTTTAGTGCTTTGCTTTTCCAACCTCTCTTATTTTCTAACAAATTGTAGCCATGACTGTCTTCCTCCTTGGAGTACACCTAGGACTTTTCCATGTACATATTCATCACAGCTTCTTACTTGTGCCCTGTGGCTTCCCAAAGCTCAGCCCTAGACCTTCTGTCTTCACAATTTGTACCATTCCCACTACCAAATTGACTATCAATTTACTTGATTTTTTTTCTTTAAATTGACATTTTTTAAAAGCTGTTATTAAAGAAAATTGTATCTACCTAGTGCAATAAGAAAGAGCTTTTGGGAAGAGCAAGCCAATATATGTTGCATTTCTATACCACAAAACATTCCCTTTGCCTCTAGCAACCATTACAACGAAAGGGTGGTGTATGGTGGAGAAGATCCCCAAAGTAAGACAAACAGGAAAATCCGGCCTTTCTGTACAGTGGATTTTGGAAAGGAGAAGGGAACAGAGGTAGGGAAAGCATGTGTGATGCAAAGTGCCCTGACTCCCCCTCTTAGACATAGGTCCTAAAGGGATACAGCGATGAGGTAAAGTGATGGGGTGCAGTGATGGGCTGAAATGTGTGCTAAGGATGAAATGTGTGCTAAGTAGTGAAGGGTTCTCCAGGAGGATAGTGACAGAAGGGTTCCACATCTCAACCAACCTGGGGCAGCCACAGCAGAGCAGAAGTGGTTGGGCTAAGAGAGATCTCAGGGGGTGGTCCTATTTCCCTTGGATCCCAAATTCCTTGAAATTGATCCAGACATCACCGTGTGGCTTCGAAGAAAACTTGGAGGTGACTACCAACCTGGCTGGGAGCTAGAGGAGGAGGAAGGCAGGGGGCTACAGAGGTGCTTCATGGACTCGAGAACAGAGTGAAACCACAACCTGGCCTGTGCTGGAGCACAGTGTTGAGCACTGGGCAGGGTGAGGTAGGGCACTGAGTCAGTCAGGGGGAATCAGTGGGCTTTGATCAAGATGAGAGGACAGACCATGAGCTCACCACTTAAGAATTCATCCTCCTCCCAGGAGCCCCGGCAGTGGGACGTTGCTGTGGAGACCACAACAAAGCAAGGACTTCTGCAAGTGGGTCCAAGCTCCCTCTGCCCTCCCACTCATGTGGTCCTATTAGCATCCCATAACTCACACAGCCAGACACCATCTTGGCAAGGAGTGCGGGTGGGGTGGGGAGCAAATATGAGAGGCTATGGATTTATTTGAAGTGATTATGCTATCTAAAGAAACTGTTTAAATTACTGAATAGGACTTTACCAGATTGAGTTAGATGTAATTGTCTATCATTAACCAGAGAGGCGAAGAATTCTCCTTGCTAAAAATGGAAATTAACAAGCATTACATGTATACATATGTGTGTGTGTGTGTATATATATATGTGTGTGTGTATATATATGTATGTGTGTGTGTGTATATATATATATATATGACATGCTATAATACCACCAAAGTCTTACTCTTCCACAAAATCAGAATGCAAAGAGAACTATAGAGGAAATGGTTTCCTAATGAAATGTCTTCTATTTGCTGTTCTCTCTAGGTACCACTTCTGTCGCAGGCCCCTAATGCACAGGACCTACTCTGTGAGGAACACTGATAATGTAAGGAATCAATGCCTCTAGACTTCATTTATAGGATGCCTTACAGGTACCAGACCCTGGGCTAAATGCTTTATTTGCATCTATTACCTAATTTAATGTGATTAGTCTCATTTTGTAGATGAGGAAACTGATATTTTGCAAGGTAGGATTACTGGTCCAATATCACAAAGCTGAGAAGCAGAACAGCTGGAACTAAAGCCCAGGTTTCCTGCCCTCGAGCTGCAGGCTTTGCAATTCGGGGAGGAGGGAGTAGGAAAGGAGCGGCAATAGAAAGATCTGGGAGGATGTGCTGGCTTCTGCAGTTATTGGGCCATGAAAAATTACTCAATCTTCTAGAAAGCTGAATAACCACTTGACATCACCTCCTTGGACCTTGATGTCCCCATTAGTAGCACAGGCCAGTGGCCTGGATGGCCCCTGGGAGACACAGACCTTTGATAGGCTCTCCCTGTTCTCCCAGATTGCTCTGCTGAAACCCTGAGGGAGAAAACCAAGATGAGGGCTAAGGGCTTGTTCTTTAAGCAGCTTGGCTTAAAACATAGGTTAATCTACCCCTGCTGATAGGTGGTAAAAATCAAAGCCCACTTTTGAATTCTCATAAAGGGAGGCTAAAGGAACCTTGAAGGTACAAGAGCAATGGCAGCTGCCTCAGGGTGGAAACCAGCCTGTAGGTGGACAAAACAAAGGAGTGGTGCTCTGGTGCTGGAATCAGGTCACCGGGCAATGCCCCACAGACCACACATGGACCCACAGCTGGGAAGCCTTAGAGCTTCCATCTCATAACCTGTTTCTCCAAACACCTCTCACATTCATATTAAACCCAAACATTTTAACTTGACCTTCAAATCTTTTCTCATCTGGCTCCATTCTACAATTCCAAACTAATGCCTCATTGCAACCCCACTGCTACCCCATCACTGTACCCCCACCACTACCCCCACCACTGCACCCCATCACTGCACCCCACCACTGCACCCCATTTCTACAGCCCATTGCTGCACCTCATCTCTGCATCCCACCACTGCACCCATCACTACACCCCATTGCAGCACCCCATGACTGCACCCCCACCACTGCACACCACCACTGCATCTCACCACTGAACCCCATCACTGCACCTCCACCATTAACCCATCGCTGTACCCTACCACTGCACTCCATCACTACACCCATCACTGCACCCCCACCACTACCTCCATCACTGCATCCCACCACTGCACCCCCACCATTTAACCACCATCACTGCACCCTACCACTGCACCCCATCACTGCACCTCCCACTGCACCCCATCACTGCACCCCATTTCTACAGCCCATTGCTGCACCCCATCACTGTATCCCACCACTTCACCCCATCACTGCACCCCATTGCTGCACCCCATCACTGCACCCACATCACTGCACCCCATCACTGCACCTCCATCATTATCCCATCGCTGTACCCTACCACTGCACCCCACCACTGCACCCCACCATTGCACCTCCACTGCTACCCCATCACTGCACCCCACCACTGCACTCCACCAATGCTCCCCATTTCTATAGTCCATTGCTGCACTCCATCACTGCACCCCATCACTGCACCCTACCACTGTACCCCTAACAGTGTACCTCACCACTGCACCTCCACCACTGCACCCCACCACTGCACTGCATCACTGCATTCCATCACTGCAACCCCACCATTGTACTACATCACTGTACCCCCATTACTGCGCCCTACCACTGAACTCTCACCAATATACTTCATCACTGTACCCCACCTCTGCAGGCCACTATCTCCCATCCCTGCAAGCCCATGACTGCACCCTATCACTGCATCCCATCTCTGTATCTCATCACTGCACCCCATCACTGTACCTCCACTCCTGCATCTCATCACTGCACCCCCATCACTATATCCAGTGTTTATTATGTTTTCCTCCCCTGGAGTGTTTTGCCTTGAATTCTTTTCTTTTCTTTTTTCTTTTTGAGACAGTGTCTCTCTGTCACCCAGGCTTGAGCACAGTGGCATGACAAACTCCTGGGCTCAAGCGATCCTCCCACTTCAGTCTCCCAAGTAGCTAGGACTACAGGTGCACACCACCACACCTGGCTAATTTTTTTTAAATTTTTGTAGAGATGGAGTCTCACTATGTTTCCCAGGCTGGTCTCCAACTCCTGGTCTCAAGTGATCCACCAGCTTCTGCCTCCCAAAGCTCTGGGATTACAGGGGTGTGGCCAGGCATGGGCCACCACACTTAGGTGACTTCTTTACCCAATGAAATCCTAAAGATTGTCTTAAAGATTCCATGAAAAACCACTTCTTCCATGCAGGCCTCCTCTCTAGAATCATTCTCCTCTTCCTGCCCATGCACTTTTTGATGACTCTATTATTTACAATACCCTGCCCTTGTTCTATAGGTGGTATACCCAATGATAATGATGACGATGACTAAGACAAGGACCATGTGATCTCTCATGCAGGTCACAAAACTTCAGCCCACCTCGGATTTAAGCCATGGCTGCAGTGGACAGTAGTGTGCAGGCCCAGCCTCCCCTTGCACTGACAGCATACCACCTGAAGCATGGTTGGGCCCTGGCTTTCTATTTTCTGCCCCAGGGCAGAAATGTCCCTTCTGTCTTTGCTCAAGTGAGACCAGAATTACAGGACAGATGGAGTCCCCCAGGAGGAACCCTCAACAGAAGGGTCATGAGAGCTGAGGGAGCTCTGAGGTATTCTGTGTGCTGCATGAAAGTCCTAGGAAGTGGGGCTCCCATTGCTCACAGCATCAGTCTCAGGAACACCCCCTCGTCTCACCTTCCCTCCTCCCCTCCACCCTTGCTCCTGAGTAATCTACCTTTTTACCCAAATCCCTGCCTCAGGCTCCGCTTTCAGGCACACAAACCAAGTCAGTCGGTATGAGAAGGAGACCTAGACAGCAGACCCTCAGTGAGATTCTGAAACTGGATCTCCCCCCTAGTCAGACAGCATCCTGTTACTAAGACTGTCAGTGGTGGACTGGGATGTGGTTCAGAGGAGTGGGCTGCACTGAGGCGTGCATTAACACTAGCACCTCTAGGTATAGAGGCAAGGGTAATTACAAGTATTGTGGTGATGGCTGCCTTTTGTTAACTGCCTTGGAAACCTTGAAGAAAATGGCAGTCTCTGTTAATCAGCTATCAATACAGAGTACACTGTGAAAATCAGAAGGCCTCCTAGCAGCTTTTAAAGATAGCTGTGTCTCCTGGAACCATAGTTTGACTATGCTGAAAATTAGACCCAGAGTCTAAGGTTCTCTGAGACTATAGGAGTAAAGGTAAGGTTGAGCCTATAGCCTTGAAAAATCTCCTAAGTTAAAGTTAGGTCACCAACAGGGAATGATTGAGACCCTGAGACGTGGAATTGGGACATCTGGATGGATGCATTTGAGAACTATGAATACCTGGCTTCTCCTAAACTCTCCAGCCTGGCAGAAGGAAGCCTCTCCTTACTAGGAGACACAAGACACTTGTACTCTGGTAACAATGCATAGACTTGACCTGTGATAGATGCTTCCCAAGATAAAGCTTTTCCTCATCAAGATCACCCAATCCACTCATTCTCCCAAGCCAGTAACCAGGGCCAGGCTTAAGCACAGCTTAAACAAGAACATGAGTCCCTTCCCCAGGAGAAAAGGGATTTCCTAGTGAATGAATCGCGTGATGTGGCTATTATGTCCTGATAGGAACAGAGAAAAACATGCATGGAGGTTGGTCTTGAGGGTGGTAAGCCTGAGGGGTGGAGCAGAAGGTAATACTGGGTAGGAGAGAATTTATTAGCACAAGAGCACATTCTCATGATGCAGGACTTACTGTATTCAAGAATGCCTCGGGCAGATGCTAATATGCTATGAGAGTGGACCCATGAAGCAGGGACATGATGACAGCCTACAGCAAATGCAATGGAGATGTTAGAATTAGCCAATTCGAATGGCCAAGTATTGATGAAGAGATGAGAAGGTTCAGGGATGTGGAACTGTTAAAATAAATACATCTCCTAGAATGAGGGACTCACTACCTGATAATGTTTCCTGAGAGTGACAGAGGATCCCTTCACTAAGGCAGTAAAGAATTTGCTAGGCAGGAAGGAATTATTTGAGAAGCTCAGTGGTGATAATCCTTGTTAGCTACCATAGAAATGGGATCCCTAGTATCGGTGTGAATGAGTCTGGAATAGCAGAGGCCAGGTTGTGCTGCATAACCAGAGGTAAGGTGGAAATAATTACCTTAATGGGCAAAAAAACCAGAGTGGCAACCAGGATGCCTTGTCCCACAGAGATCTATGACAATGGCTAATAGGTCATGGTAATCCTAGAAGTAAAGTAGACAGGCAGCCAACTTGAATGTTGTTTAACTTGTAAAATCAGAGAAAGTCAAGAGGTGATGATTAGAAGTTTATGTCGGCCATAACAATGAAAAATCCCTTACTAGATCTTTCCAGATCTGAACCACTTGTCAAACCTACTGAGCTCATTGTTTTAAGGAGTCTGGGTCCTTCAAGAGAGGACTATGCAATGTCACTATAAATATATAACTATAAACATACCCCCAGTCCTTCCTAAAAGAGATTTATAGCCAGGACTTATCTCCTAATGGAAAGTTCTGGATGCATGGTCACTTGGTGTCCATGGTCCAGCATTTTTTTGATACCAGGACCCACTAATGCACAGAGGCGATTCTCAAAGGGGTTTAATTCCCTAATGTAGTAGGCATGGCCTTACACCAGAATTGCAGGGACCACATCATGATCTTCCCACTGGAGCTTGCCATGAGCTCCACCTGCACCTTCTCCTATCCCTGACGTTTCCACCGTCACAGGCCTGCCAAATCATATCACCTAGGCAACAGGACTGATTGATCCACAGCCTGGACTTGCCAGTGCCATTTCTTCTTCAGACCCTACCCCACTCAAACCTGGTGGTCTTTCATGTGATCTGGAATTTGGGCTAGAGCCACATGTCTAGGTGTGGAATGTGCTGCCTTCACATACCAAGGAGACTTTGCC
This sequence comes from Homo sapiens, assembly GCF_000001405.40. Lineage (NCBI taxonomy): Eukaryota > Metazoa > Chordata > Mammalia > Primates > Hominidae > Homo > Homo sapiens. Next base: position 106,600 of record NW_003315945.1, read on the forward strand.
TCCTTCTTTTTAGCAAGAGTTGCAAGACAGTTAGATTTTTCTTCTACTTTAGTGGAGAAATCCTAGCATGTTCTGCCCATGGGATTCCTAAAACCTTCACTGAAATGTCCCTTCCTTGAGTTTCCAAAGGGCTTATCTCCCACCCTCTGGAGCACAAAGCCTCCAGAGGGCTGGCCACCTCTTGCTCATCCTGTCCATTGAGCATGAAGTTGTAAATGTAACATGTGAGCGTGATGTTCTTGGGACATCCAGGCAGTGAAATGGACTATATTGTGAGAGGCAGCTAACCCTGTAACTGAATATTTTTCATCCCATGTAGATGCGAATTGTTCTAGTTGGAATGGATAAGATTGAGTTCACCAAATCTACAGCTGCAGCATACGTTATAGCAGAAGCCTTATTCACCTGCTCAAGCAGGGATGCCACACCTAGCACAGCAGCTATGATCAGAGTTACCGCTTGGTTGAGTGTGTGGTAGTCTACAGTCATTCTCCAGGGGCTGTTCAACTTCTGCAGCAGCCAGACTGATGAATCGAATGGAATTGTGAAAGGCACCACCACCATTGCATCTTTTTTTTGTTTTTTGTTTTGTTTTGTTTTGTTTCGTTTTAGATGGAGTCTCGCTCTGTCACCAGGCTGGAGTGCAGTGGCAGGATGGCTCACTGCAACCTCCACCTCCTGGGTTCAAGTGATTCTCCTGCCTCAGCCTCCCAAGTAGCTGGGATTACAGGCATGCACCACCACACCCAGCTAATTTTTGTATTTTTTTTAACAGAGACAAGGTTTCACCATGTTGGCCAGGATGGTCTCGATGTCTTGACCTCATGATCCTCCCATCTCGGCCTCACAGAGTGCTGGGATTACAGGTGTGAGCCACTGCACCCGGGCCACCGTTGCATCTTTTAGGTCTTTAACAGTGGTGCTAATCTCTGCTATATCCCTCTCTGAGGATACAATATTGTTTTTTCTTTACTAACTTGGCCATGAAGTGGGAGCCTATTGGCTTCTGGCAGTTTCAGAGGTTTCTATTTCCGCTTCCCCAATGTGATAGCTCTTACCTCACAGACCATGGATTCCTTATTCATTCTCCAGGGAATCCTGGGAATCCTTGGAGGATTACTCCAAATATATCACTCCCAACTGATGCACCTGGGCACTAGAGAAATGACCACTATTGGTGGGGTCTATTGACACAGTGAGCCCACTGTAAGCCAGTCTTTAGCTAAAGTTCCATTCACTACCTGGCTCTCGTAGGTCCCCACTCTAACAGGGGGGTCATGGTGACACTTTAGGTCTCTACATAGCAATGTCACTTCAGAATCTGTGTCCATTAGTCCTGAAAATATTTGCTCAGTACACAGTCACCCAAATAAACAACCATACATCCCTTCGGAAAAGAACTAGGAAAATTATCATGGTATATACTTGCTGCAATTGTGCGAAGTCCTTCTTTCTAAGGATCTGGCCACCTTTTCATTCAGCGGTTTCAAGATCTGACAATTGCCACAGATCTGGGAACTGAGCAAAGATTTGTGGCATTTTACTGGGACAGCTTCCCTCAGCCTTGTGCTACTCCTCCATGCTTGCTTTATCCTTTATCATGCATGTGAAGCAGCACCTCTGTCGACAGTCTGTCTGTGTTCCCCTATAGATATCACACTCCCTTAACCATCTCCACCACTCCTTACAGGTCAAACCCTCTTGTCTGATCCTCTGGCCTTGGTGATCATTAAAGTAATTGCAGCCTCCTGCCTTCTGGCACTTAAGTGCCACTACCCAGCCTCAGGATGAGTGACTCTGAGACTCCCCCTCTTCTTCATCAATGTTAATGAACCCAGTTCTACGGCCACCTCTCCTGCCATGTCCCCTGGCCTGCAGAAGAGGGCCACCCCACAACCACCACTAAACTTCTTCCTTTTTTTTTTGAGACAGGGTCTCGCTGTGTTGCCCAGACTGGAGTGCAATAGCATGATCACAGTTCACATCAGCCTCAACCTCCTGTGCTCAAGTGATTCTCCTTCCTCAGCCTCCCAAGTAGCTTTGACTACAGGCATGTGCTACCATGCCTGGCTAATTTTTAAATTTTGTGTAGAGACAGTGCCTCCTTATGTTGCCCAGGTTGGTCTTGAACTCCTTGGCTTAAGTGATCCGCCCACCTAGGCCTTCCAAAGTGCTGGGATTACAGGAGGGAGCCACTGTGCCCGGCCTTACCACTAAACTTCTTAGTGATACTCGTGCTCCTTTCGCCAGCACATTTGTGGTGAAGTCTTCAGACTATAGTCCAACTGTGTCTGCCCTCCTACTACTGCTGAGAAGGGCCTTTTCTTAATCTTTCCCCAAGGCTGCCTTGATCTCACACTTAGCCATTATCTGCTCATTAACAGCTCTCTGTCTCTCATTATCCTTCTGCAGTGTGCAGCTTAGCCATACCTGGCCTACTCTACTGCCTTTGTAGGCTTTGTTCTCCATGTATTTTTCAAATACTTACATCATTGCACCTCCTACAGCATTCCCCCTAATGTGGGACATTTTTTTCAGTTCACCACCAGCAAAATCTAGCAATTGAGCCATCACCTTGTGCCTCGTCAATCACCCAAGATGATATCCTCCACTCCTGCTAGGAGATCCAGTCCCAGACCCCCATCTTACCACCTGTCTTCCGAGACCACTTTCGTTGGTCTGAGAAGGATTAAACGTGCAAAGGAGCTGACATCAAAACAGGATTAAACATGCAAAGATTTTATTAGGGGAGATGCCTATGGATGGGAATTGGGGAGGGAGCCGGGAAAGTCCAGGAGAGCTGCCAGACTGTGATAGAATCTGCAAAGGAGAGATAACAAGAAGGTTGGGTAAAAGCATCCTAGGCTACCATGAAGACTAAAGAAGGTCCAGCAAGTGTGTCAGGGAGCCGGGAAGCCTATGTCAATCACTAGAGGAGTCTTGAGTCTCCCAGAAATGGGTCTGCCCTTGTATCCCTGCTACACTCGTTTGTTAGCTAGGAGCAGCCTGTGGGAAGCATGGCCTTGATGTAAATGTTGTGACAGACTTCAGCAGCAAGGAGCTGGTGCCCTGGTTCAATGATTGGAAGCCATAGTTGGAAGCCCGCAAAGTTCATTCTCATGGCCACTACCTACTATGGGATATCAAGTGAATAGGCAACCAGAGCCGCCCATTATGAGCTGAGTATTTTCAGATCCAGCAACAAGATGAGGCAAGCACATTTGGTACATTAGAAATAGTGACTGAGCAAGTCTGGCTAGCACAAGAAAGTTACACACACATGGCTGACCCCACGTTGTCTCCCTCTACTGCACCAATGCTTCCCCTCAATCACATCCGTCCACTGCCTCATGGCAGGTTCCCCACGGCTAGCTGGTGGAAGAGGCAAACAGGCCTGGTTTACATATGGACTGCCCTAAGAAGATGAGCTAAAATTCAACTGTTACATACCAGCCACTCTCAGGAGTGACCTCAAAAGATAGTGATGAGAAAAACATCCTCCTGGTGTCCAATTTTAAGCAATATACTTGGTTGCCACTTTAAATAGTCACAAAAGTGAGCTGAGGTAAAGACATACATGATGACTTCTGAACAGTGGTGAATGGCTTGGCCAATTACTCAGGGGCCTGGGAAGTGACAGATAGGATCCTAAATCAGTGACAAAGAGATGTGAGAAAGAATCATGAGGATTCATCTATGGGAGTGGGACAGTGTGTAGATCTTTGTGTTTTATGTTAATGCCCAATAAGAAACTCTACAAACAGAGGGACAAAACTCATCCAAGTCATGTCAACCAGCCTCCCTCCTCAGCCATGCAGTTCTTGCACAACGAACCCATGAACAGAATAGCTATGGTGGCTAAGCATGGGCTCTGATTCACCAAGGCTGATCTTGGCAATACTGCTCCGAATGCCCACTGGCCAGCAGCAGAAACTAATATGAGCCCTCACCATAGCACTATCCTAAGTGGGAATCAAACTCTCTTTGGTAACAAGTTGGTTATGTCAGACTCCTAACTCTGGGACATGGGGAGACATGGTGACTCATCCTTACCAGAATTGACACCTACTCAGGATATGGATTTATGGGTTTGCCTTCCCTGCTCACAGCATCCTTTGTCAACAATACCACCTGAGGGCTCTTGCCTAATCTGTATCATGGGATCCTATGTAATCCCATGATTACATAGGATGTAATCACATCAACAAAATGGAGCTATTTTGTGGTTAAGGATGGGTCTGTGAACAAATGGCCCCAGGACCCACTGGTCCTACCATATGCTGCATCCACTGGAAACAGCATAATAGAACAATGGAAGGTCTATTAGGAGATGTGCTAAGGAATGAACTTGGTATCAACACGCTGCAGGGTTGGAATGTTGTACTACAGGATGCAGTATATGCTCTATAATACTTGAAATGTGATGCTGTGCCTCAAAGGCTAGAACAGACCAGTCTGAGAATCAAGAGGTGAAAGAAATATTGACCCCTGTCACCATCACTCTGCATCACTTGCAGAATTTGTGTTTCATGTTCCCCAGAGCCTAGGCTCTGTGGAATATCAGGTCGTTTTCTGGGGGTGGAGGGATGCTTCCACGGGTCAACAGTTGACCGGTTGACCCAACAAAGAGTCCACTGAACTTGAAACTAGATCTGCTGCCTGATGACTTCAGACTCTTGTTACCAGTGGACCAGAGGCAAAAAAAAAAAAAAAAAAGTTACTACACTGATTATCATTAAAAACTAGGGCTGCTGCTATATATAAGGGTGCTTCTATGTTCAGTTAAAGAAAATTCAATGTGGCAAGCCAAGTCATCCAAGGTCTCAGATCCATCAGGGGTAAGAGTCTGGAGCATCTCACCAGGTAGACTTGGACTCAGGCCCTGTTGCAGCAATGGATACTGAACTTGTTCTTCTAACTCTGCTGCCTTAGGTCTTTTATGGAGATTGAAGCTGCAACCAGCATGAAGACTATGTGACAGTGTAAACTTAATGTGGGTATGAGCAGATCTAAGTGGAGCAAGGAGTGGACGGTAAAAGACATTGTCATGGGTGAAAGGTGACTATCTGAGGCAGTGACTATCTGAGGCCAAATTTACCAGTTGTGGGTTAAAAAAGGCAGATTTATTAGAGAAAGTATGAAAATATGTTGCAAGGGAGCAATGGGCAGAATCAGCAAGAAAGGAGCTGACTCCAGGGAAGCAAAGGCTTGCTGGAAATTTTATAGGATGGTTCTTGAGCGGCCGAGTACTGCATGCAGTACTGATTATGGCAAGGTTACAGGGCACTAACTTGCAATTTTTCTATCAGCCAAGGGTCTGGTGATACCTGGACATAGGAATATTGTGAGTTATTTGCACAGAAGGGCTGTGTCCTGGACCGTGAAGAAAGACAAACTTGTAGCTTACCTGCTTTTTCTTTTTGCTTGCTTTCAGTCCTGCCAGCCCAACTCCTTTTTTCTAATTAGGACTCCACAGGTATCTCTGGTGTTCCACATCTCGTCCTCTCTGCCCACCACTGATTTCAGCTGCAGTTGTTGTAGACTGTACCATGGGAGTACAGATTCCCTTCATGTTGACAAATTTCACCTCAATTACGGGCCATGCAGCTTTCCGTTTACTGTCCCCAGGCTCCTTCTGATGTTGGAAAGTCTACCTGGCCCATGCACAAGTTAGCACAGAAGGAGCAACCTTTAACCAATGGGGCAAGAACCAGTGGATAAAGGCTCCAGCTTCCTGTTATTCAGGCGAACAATTCTAGTAGATATTCTGTTAATTGTCCAATGGGTCTCTGGAACTAAGACCCAAGTTGACAATAGCAAAAATCTCAACTAGAGACCCTTACATTCACTTTTCATCCACTACCCTGTCTCATGTTCCCTTATTCCCTTATTCCTGGGATTGTCTGCTAAATAAACTACCTGAACCTTAGTCTTTGTCTCAGGCTCTGCTTTTCGGGGAATCCAGACTAAGATTTCCATTTTCATTTATTGGTTGTGTCAGTCACTGTGCTAAGCACTTTGCAAGCATGTCACATTGAATCTTCACAAAATGCTATGGAGTTGATTCTATTGTTATTCTAATTATAGATGACAAGGCTAAGACACAGAAAGGTTAAGTGAAGGTCACAGAGCTGGTCTTCAAATCTAGATCTCTGTCTGACTCTAGCTTTAACCATCATGCTATTCGGCCTTTCCCACCAAGGTATGAACTGCATGAGGGCAGGGACATTTTGGGTTCACTTTGCACCCTCAGTGACCAGCTCAGAACCTGAGAGAAGCACTTTAACAAATGTTACATTTAAAATTATAATGTGCTTCTCTCTTTAATTTGACAGTTAAAGGGGAGCTTTACTCAAAAGTAGCCTAGAATGACCTAAACCCAGGAAAATATTCAACCCTGAAACCTGCTAGGACTCAAAATGGGCCAAACTGGATACGGGCCTAAGACATAGAAAAAAAAAAAAAGGTATTTTTTCCTCTCCATTCTCATACACCATTCAACGCAATGCTTCTGACACCAAATGTGTGTATTTCCCCATACACCAAGACATTCTCCAAGAAATGCCAGCTGGGTATCTTCTAATGCAATTCAGTTCTGACACTATCTACCTGGAGACAGCAGCAAATCCCACAGGTTGGGGGCTCAGTCCCATAAGCCTGCTCCCCACTTCAGATGCCAGTTGCAAGTAGTAGGTTGTGACTCTTACCAGCTATAAATTGGGATTCCCATGACCCCTCCTTAGATTCAATTAATTTGCTAGAATGGCTCACAGAACTCAAGTCAACACTTTACTCACTTATTGGAAAGGATATTACAAAGGATACAAGTGAACAGCCAGATGAAAGAGATGCACAGAGCAAGGTATCTGGGAAGGGGCATAGAGCGTCTATGCCCTCTCTGGTAGGCCACCTGCCCCACCCCTGACCCTAAACCTCCACATGTTCAGCTATCCAGAAGCTCTCCCAACCCAGTCCTTTTTTTTTTTAATGGAGGCTTTATTTTGTAGGCATGATTGATTACGTCATTGGCCATTGATAATTAACCCAACTTTCAATGTCTCTCCCTTACCCTCTAATCACATGGTTGGTTCCCTTGGTGACCAGCTCCCATCCTCTGGCTATCTGGGAGCCCCCAGCCATCAGTCATCTCATTAGAATACAAAAGACACTCTTATTGCTCTAAGTATTTAAGAGGTTTTAGGAGCTTTAGGTTAGGAAATGAAGGATGAAGATCACTTATATATTTCACAATATCACAGTGGGCTAGTCTTAAAATAGAAGCTTCTTAGAGCCTCTCACTCAGCTGGATTTCAGAACCAAGTCATAGTGACCTTCCAGCCAGGAAAGCATCAGAGTCACACTCACTAAAAGAAATTTTGAGTGCCCTTGATAATAGCATAAGCTGAGTCTGTAGGAGTCTTGCAAGCACCCAAGAAGGATGGACTCCATATTTTCCATCAGGCTGAGAATGGAGAAAAGGTATGGGAAGGTAGAGAAAGGCAAAAGAAAGGCAGAAAGCTTAAGAAGAATTCCAAGACAACTTGAAAAAAAAATGAAAGAACCTGAAATTTTTGAGTGTAAGAAATACCCAGTTAAGAAAAAGAAAATCACATTACTTAATCTCAAATTTCAATGAATATTCAGACATGATTGAGGGAGCTTAATGTTCCAGATGTGGGCTTGAATTATTTTTTTTTTAATTTTACTGTTTTGTTTGTGAAATTGTGGAGGTAAATATAGAAGAGAATTCTGTGCAAGCATTTTAGGTTCAATCAATGAAAATCTTGCAGGAACTCTTCCAGAGAATAAAAAAGTAGGGAATACTTCCAAACTACTTTAATGAGACCTGCATAACCTTGATTCCAAAACCCACAAAGGACCTTATGAAAAAATAAAAATTAAATAGTGATATATCTTATAAACCTATGTGAAAAAAAATCCTTTAAAATACTAGCAATTCAAATCTAGTGATATATAAAAACATGTATTACAACAAACTGAGGCTTATTCCTGGTGAGGACTAAGCTCTGTTTTTTTCTTATCTTGCCCAAATATCCAAGGGGTCTGGGGAGTCATGCTCTTGTGAACTCCAAAAATCTGAGACAAGTCTTAGTTAATTTAGAGAGTTTATTTCACCAAGGTTGAGGATGGACACCTGTGACACAGCCTCAGGAGGTCCTTGTTAGACATGAGTTCTAAATTTCTCTTCAAAGAATCAATATGTCAATATGTTCAATTCTTTGCCTTCTACTTTTAAACTTAACTTCCTCCTAAAGCAACCTTTTTCAATCACCTGCTCCACCCTGACTCATTCCGATTACCTGCTCCACCCTGACTCATTCCGATTATCTGCTCCACCCTGACTCATTCCAATTACCTGCTCATTCTCCACCCTGACTCATTCCAATTTCCTGCTATGCCATAACCATTTTTCCCACCAAACCACTCACCTCGTCACTCTCTTTAAATTAGCCAATCAGAAATGGTTTAGCCTGTGTGGTCTAACCCTAGCCAATAGGGGAATGACACAGCTGCAGGAGCCACATGTCCGGAATAAGAACCCCTTCCCCTCCCTTGTCCAGGTGTGTGCTCACCATTGCTCCATCTGTGAGGGCACACCCTTCTATAGAAATAAATTGCCTTGCTGAGAAGAAATAAGAAAGAAAATCTTACATTCGAGTGCTATTTCTTTTGCAGCACCAAAACTTTATTTCTAACATCCTGGTGACATGTGCCCAAGGTGGTTAGAACACAGCTTGGTTTTATACATTTTAGGGAGACAAGAGATGTCAATTAACATATGTAAAATGAACATTGGTTCATTCCAGAAAGGCAGAACAACTCGAAGCAAAGGCAGGACAACTCAAAGTGGGGAAGGGGCTTCCAGGTCACAGGTAGGTGACAGACAAACAGTTGCATTCTTTTGAGTTTCTGATTAGCCTTTCCAAAGAAGGCAATCATATATGCATTTATCTCAGTGAGCAGAGGGATGACTTTGAATAGAATGGGAGGCAGGTTTGCCTAAACAGTTCCCAGCTTGAATTTCTCTTTAGCTTAGTGGTTTTGGGGGTCCATGATATTTCCCTTTCACACCCTACAAACCATAAATTCTCATCAGATGGGTTTTATTTAACCCTCTATATCATGACTTCCTTTCTAATCTGACTCTAGCGTAACATACGTGACAAAGAAGAAAACAAAATATTTTACCCCAAAACATGTTTCTTTGCCATATTTTGAAATGGCCCTGCAAAGCCATCCTTTGTGGGGGGAAATTTACGTCTGTAAAGAATCTCTATTAACATAGCTAGATTTTTTTCTTCCAGGAACTCCCCATCCTGAAGAGATTAACTGAAAGTCTAGCACCTTTTAAAGGCTTGAATAGAAAACATTTGCCATCTATTGTCTCTAAGGGCAGCCACTATGAGACTTCAAAAGAAACTTGGTCTCCACAATCTTTTATCTTAACCTGAACATTTCCATTCTATTGATCCCAGGTCTTTAGACAGACTCAACCAATTGTGAACCAGAAAATGTTTAAATTTACCTATAGCCTGGAAGCCCCCACACACCCCCACACCACCATCCCTGCTTCAAATTGTCCCACCTTTCTGGACCAAACCAATCTATTTCTCAAATGTGTTTGATCAGTGTCTCATGCCTCCCTAAAATGCATAAAACCAAGCTGCACCCCAACCACCTTGGGCACATGTTCTCTTGACCTCCTGAGGGCTGTGTCACAGGCCATGGTCACTCATTTTTGGCTCAAAATAAATCTCTTTGAATATTTTACAGAGTTTGACTCTTTTTGTCAACACTGGTATGCAAGGTTTGTTTAATATTTGAAAATCAATCAGTGTGGTTTACCACATAAAAAATGCCTAGCTTAATACAAAAAACTCAAGCAATTATAATTTTGGCTTTTTTTAATTAAATTTTTTTCAAAATATAAGTGCTTATAAGAGCACTAATGGAATTTTGCTTCCAGTTAGGACATAGAAGCTTTTAAAAGCTCACACTCTAACAACAACAACAAAAAAAAAAAAAATAGTGGATAGACTTCTAAAAATTATATATATATAAAGCTATCAAAGAACTATGGACACAGAGAAACCTAACTGAGCTAAATTCCACAGAGGGAACAAGTTATTCCTAAATGAGTACAGATAAATATATATGAGTGCAGTTATATCTTTGGGAGAAGTAGCCAAGTTAAGGTCAAAAATAGGTAAAAGGATTAGCCTATCAGAGGCAGAGGAGTTGTGCAGGGACAAGGAAAAATCACCTAAACTTCTAAAGTCAAATGTGGTTTAGCCTGGCAGGTCGAAATCCAGAAAAATGCCAAATACAGCCTTCTGGTCCCTGCCTGCCAATTCTCTTCCACAGGAGTTTTTCTGAGTAAGTAGTAGCACTGAGAAGCTGAGGGAAGGGCTAGAAAACAGAAAGAAATTTTGTATATTCACAATGCTCATCTATCAAAGCCCCAGAGAAGTGAGGGACTTGTTTCTACACCTTTGAGACATTTGAAACCAGAGGTCAATCATAACTAACCAAAGGCTCAACCCTTCCTCAGCTTAATTTCTGCTTAAATTGATCAGATCAGACCTGTTTTCAATATCGGTATGAAATAGAAAAAAAAAATTGGAATCATAAAGAAACAAGAAAATGTGACCCATAATCAAAAGACAAGTAAGGTCAATAGAATCAGTTCCCATAAATGACAAAAATATTGGTATAACAGACAAGAACTTTAAGGTGATTACTATGAGCACATTTAAAAATTTAGAGGGGAAATTGGACAAAATAAATGGAAATATGAAGAATTTCAGTAGAGAAATGAAAACTCTACAAGAAACCAAATAAAAATTCTAAAGCTAAAAAATACAACACATGAAATAAAAAATTATTTAAATGTGCTTAACAGCAAACTAGACAAAGTCGAAAATAATTATTAGTGAACTTGAAAACAAGGTAATATCAAATAGTCAATCAGAAGCACAAAGTGAAAAGAAGAAAATAAGAAAAATAAAAGCATCAACAACCTAAAGTATAATATAAAATGATCTAACATATGTGTAATTGAAATCCAAAAGAGCAAAGAAAGAGAACAATGTTGCACAACTATTTGAGGAGGTATTGGCTGAAAAACTGATAAAAGACATCAAACTGCATATCTGAGAATCTCAACATATCTCAAGCAAGATGAATACCAATTTAAATACAAATTTAAAAATCACTCCTTAGTATATTATAATAAAATGCTAAAACTAAGGCTTAAAAAACTTTGCCAAAAGCCAAAGAATAAAAGACACATTGGATTGTAGAAAAAAAGCAATAAGAATGGTGTCTATTTTTGTTAGAAAAAATAGAAACCAAAAGATGAAAAACTGATGAAAGAAAAATAAGTGTTTTTCAAAATGTTAGAGAAAGAATATTTTTAGAAAATATTATTCAAAAATGAAGACAAAAATAATAAAATATGCAGAGAAAAGAAAGCTGGGAGAATGTTTTACCAGCAGACCCACACTGTAAGGAATAATAGGCTGGGCGTGGTGGCTCACACCTGTAATCCCAGCACTTTGGGAGGCCAAGGCAGGCGGATCATGAGGTCAGGAGTTCAAGACCAGCCTGGCCAACATAGTGAAACCCCATCTCTACTAAAAGTACAAAAAATCAGCCAGGCGTGGTGGCAGGTGCCTGTAGTCCCAGCTACTTGGGAGGCTGAGGCATGAGAATCGCTTGAACCTGGGAAGCAGAGGTTGCAGATTCCACTACTGCACTCCAGCCTGGGTGACAGTGCAAAACTCTGTCTCAAAAAAAAAAAAAAAAAGAAAAGAAAAGAAAAGAAATAATAAATGATGTTTTTAGAGGATGTGGGTGACATCGAAGAAAATGATGGAGTAGGGAACTCCAAGGCCCCATTTCTCCACAAAAACAGTAAATATACTAGCAAAAATGTCAGAATAAACTTTATCTGAACACTGGAAAGTAATAAAATCTTTACAATAATCAAACATTTACTGCAGAAAAAAGTTGCCGAACCTCAACAGAGGAGTTTAGTGGCATTTTTGGCACCCTCTTCCACTCTTTAGTTCCATGGCAGTTTTGAAGGTGGTAGCCTACAATGCAAGACAAATGCATTAGCTACTGCCTCCTGGGACAAAGAATAGATCCCAGTGGAAAAAAGAGTCCCTTGTTGTGAATCCTTGGGGGAAACAATAAACTTACCAAAAAGCTTGGGAGGAAAGATGGGAAGTGAGTTACTTTAAGGGATAAGAGCTTTGAAAGTTCTCACATATTCCTGGGAATCTAGAAGACCATGTGCTTGCCAAAAGTAGAGAGCACATTCAGAAAAAACCTGTAAGAGCCCTAAGCTCTCACATCTGGCTGACCTTCAGACTCTGCCCAAACAGAAAGTTAAGGCTAAGGCAGAGATGTAAATTGTCCAGCTCAGTGTTGAAGGCTTGCCTTAAGACACACACAGAGTACATTTGCAAAGATTGGACTAATTTGGTTGTTTTTTTTTCCCCCAGGAATTCAAAGAAATCTCTGTCAAATTACTACGTGACTACTAAGCTAACCAAAGACTTAAATGTCCACAATAACAAATAACAAAGTTTCCAAAAGTGTGTTTATGAACTCCAACCTATGAGAGGAGCTGCATGGGCTGTGTCCAGCAAATCCACGGGGGGCAGTACTGCCCAAAGCGTGGGAGCCCAGCCCTCACACCAGTGTGTTTTGGATTTGGCACACGGAGTCAAAGGAGATTATTCCGGAGCTTTCAGATGTAACATCTCCCCTGACAGACTTTTGACTTGTATGGAGCCTGTTACTACTTTATTTTCTCAGTCTTTTGCAGTGAAAATGTCTACCATTATATCTTGGAAGTGCCTGTGCTACCATTGTTATCTTGGAAGCAAATAACCTGTTGCTTTTTTTGTTTGTTTGTTATTTTACAAGCTCATAGCTGGACTTTGGATTTAAAAATTTGCGCTAGAACAAGTTAAGATATTTAGCACTATTTGGATAGAATGATTGTATTTTACACGTGAGAAGAACATGAGTTTGGGGGATCCAGAAGTGGAATGCTATGGTTTGGATGTAGTTTGCTTCCACCAAAACTCATGTTGAAATTTGATCCCCAATATGGCAGCATTTGAAGGGGGGCCTGGTGGGAGATGTTTAGGTCATGGGTCCCTTATGAACAAATTAATGCCCTCCTGAGAGGATGAGTGAGACCTCACTCTCATGGGAATGGATTAGTTCCTGAGAGAGAGGAGAACCTGATGTTCAAGACGAGTTTAGCTTCCTCAGTTTCTGTATTAGTCTGTTCTCATGCTGCTAATAAAGACATATCTGAGACTAGGTAATTTATAAAGGAAAGAGGTTTAATTGACTCACAGCTCCACATAGCTTAGGAGGCCTCACAATCATGGTAAAAGGTGAATGAGGAGCAAAGTCACATCTTACATGGTGGCAGGCAAGAGAGAGAGCATGTGCAGGGGAACTCTCCTTTATATAACCATCAGCTCTCTGAGACTTGTTCACTATCATGAGAACAGCCTGGGAAAGACCTACCCTCATGATTCAGTTACTTCCCACTGGGTCCTTCCCATGACATGTGGGTAGTATGGGAGCTACAGTTCAAGATTTGGGTAGGGACACAGCCAAACCATATCATTTCTCTCTTGCTTCCTCTCACCATGTCTTCTCTTTGTACATGCCTGCTCCTTTTCCACCTTCTCCATGAGTGGAAGCAGCCAGAGGTCCTCATCAGATGCAGCTGCTCAATCTTGAACCTTCAAGCCAGCAGAATCATGAGCCAAATAAACTTCTTTTCTTTATAAATTGTGCAGTATTAAGTATTCTGTTACAGCAACACTAAATGGACTAAGACATCATCAGAGGGATGGGGACACTGAGTGTTAGGGTGGGGTAAGGCTGGGGCCAGAACCCAGGTTCCTGACTCTTGGCCAGTGTCTTTCTCCATATAAATGGTAGAGGTTTCTCACTTTCCTCTGCCAGGGTGGAGAGCTTCACAATCTGACAGGCACTGTAGACTAAAGGGTACATCCATTATCTCATTTAATCCTCATGACAACACTGCAAGGAGGGTTTAGCCTCATTTTAAATATCACAAAACTGCTTTAGAAAAGTTATTATCTTGTGTAAGGCCCTGAATACTGAATGGCAGAGTCAGCATTTGAAAGTAAAACTTTATAAGGAAGTCCATGCCTTTAACTCTTACTTTACCTACCTGAGGAGAGTAGTGTTTGTCCTAAGGAATGGATTCACAAATGTAGATTTTCTGTCATTTGGGAACCACAGGAGTATTTCTGCACCCCTAAACTAACCCTCATTCCCCCATCCCCGCATCCCCCCCATCCTCTACCTCAGGGCCTTCTCACTGCTGTGGAAAGAGCTTGCCTTCTGCTCCTCTCCAGCTTGTGTCTCCAGGGACGGCTAAGTATTCTACTTGCTACATCCAAGCCAAGAGCATCCAACCCCAGGGTACCACTCCCTGCTGTCCTGACAGAGAACCATTCCCTGCTGTCCTATGTAGGAAACAAAGCACTTTGCCTAGGGTTAGTGGGAGAGCCAGCAGGAAGCCAGGGGCAGGGGGAGTGATCTATTCATTAGTCTCACCAAAATGCCAAGATGCTCCCAGGGGTAGAAGACAAGAGTACTTAGAGAAGGGGGAAAAAGGGTTCTAGGGCCTTCTAAGTGGCCCAGGCTCCAGGAAGGGGACCAAGATGAAGGTTTGCCTTGCTTTTCTTGAGGAATACTTGGCCTTTCTTGTCAGTCAACACCCAAACCAAAGGGATCAGTCCTATGGAAGCCAGCCTTGTACTAGAGATGACCAGGCAAGAGCCTGGATCAGAGACGCACCCCCAGAATACCCAAATTTTCTGGATGGAAGGACTTTGAGACAGCATCTCCTCCAAAGCTCTCAATGTACAATGGGGAAACTAAGATCCCACATGGGACAGATAGTTTCATGTTTCCATTTTCCTTAAGAAATACTGACAGTGGACACATGTCTTTACCATCAGATTTTAAAAGTTAATTTGCCATCCATAACACATTATTTGTAATAGTAAAAAACTGGAGCCAACTCAAATATCCAGCATTGGTAGAATAAAGAAATGTAGTAGTAGGATAAATAAATTGTGGTATATACATATAGTGGAACGCTATACAGCAATGAAAAAGAATGAACTGCTACTTTATGCCATGAAATGAATGAATTTCCCAGATAAAGTCAAACTAAAAAAGCCAAGCATGAAAAGCATATATACTGAATAAGTCCCAGAATGTAAAGTTGAAAAACAGTCAAGCTAATCTATAGGGAGAGAAGTCAGAATAGTGCTTGCCCTGGTGGTATGGACAATGACCATGAGGATCAGGAATGCTCTCAGTTTTTATCTGTGTCATGTGGCTACAAGAGTAAAAATTGGTAAAAATTGATTTATGCACTAAGGATTTGTGTGCTTTCCTATATGCATGCTACACATTATACTTCAATTAAAAAGTAAAAGCAATAGTGGGTAATTCTCTAGTTCATACATGTAAAATCACATGTAGATGCATCAAGAAACTCTGAAACGTGGCCATGAGGTGTCTAGGGTGGGTAGATCTGCAAGATAGGAGTTTGAGTGATTTTTATTTTTTTCATAATTTTCTGCATTGTTTGAAACTTTGCTTATAAGAAGTAAGCACTATATTTAAAATCAGGAAAAAAAGCTAGTTCTGCTTATTTTCAGGAAAAACATAATTGAAGTAAAATAAAAGCAAATAACCCCTGAAGAGACCTTTAAAAAGGAAGACTCCAAGTGAAGTATAATGGCACATCATAGACAATCAATAAATATCTGTGGAATGAATGAACAGCCCCATGAAGTCATTCCAACAGACCAGGAAACTGAGACTCAGGGAGAAATGCTTTAAAGTCTCATCTCCAATTACGGAAAAAAGGTTTCATCCTCATAAAGGGATGCATCCCTAGGAGGCATATGGGGCCCAGGGGCCACTGCCTTAGTCAATCCAGATCTCCAGCACCATGGGAGAGGCTGAGGGCCTTCTTGGAAGATCATCTGACCAGGAAGACCAGGGCATGGTGGTCCCAACCCTGAGATCATCACAGGCATGGTCACCCTCATGACCACTTTCCCAGAGACCACTGTGTGTCTGGCACTGGGTTGGCAGCCAAATTGACTCTCTCAACCACCTCATAATGGAAGTCTTGGTGGTTACATTCTGTAGATGAGGAAGGAGAGGTTTTCTTAAGTTCCTACTGCTGGTGTAGCAGTACCTGGGGGAGGCTGAGACAGAGGTGCTAAGGTAAGCATTAAAAACCCCATACAACATAACTCAGAATGAATCCAAATACACCACAGGTTTGTTTACCACCAGCAAAGCATGCACCTGGCCTACCTATCTGGAGACCTTTCTGTTTAAGTGCCTGCCCTAGGTCCTGATGCTAACATCTCAAAGGTCCTGAATGTCCGAGCCTGCAGAGGAATGGGGAGAGCAGCTCTGATTGGTAGCACAGAATGGACAGGTCCCTTTCAGGATAGATACAGGAGTCAAGAGCTTGCACTCTCATTGCCATTATAATGGGAGGCTTCCTGGATAAGGTTTCCAAATGAGAATGGCTAGAAAAGCACCTTGCCCTGCTGCATATCCTTCTGAGCTGGGAGCCAGCAACACTGAGGAAGCTGCTGAAATTCCCTCAAGAGGCCCCATGAAAAATCCAACTTGGAAAGAGGATCCTGGATTCACATGGTAGTGTTGAGCTGAGAAGCTTCAGGATTCTGGGTCTATCTGTTTTCAAACTGTCTCCTGCAACACTGGTTCATCAGAAGAGCCTCTGGTGCCACAGAGAGTGGATCTAGGTAACATTCCTTCCATGGACCTTCAAAGGAGAATCTCACCTTCTAAGTTTTACTAGGTTAAAGCAGTCGTTCCCAACCAAGGTGCTTTTGTCCCCCAGGGGACATTTGGCAATGTCTGAAGATATTCGATAGTCACAGCTAGTGGAGAGGTACTGATATCTACTGGGTGGAGGCCAGGAATGCCACCAAACATCCCACAGGGCAGCCTCCCACTATTAACTGGCCCACAAGCTCAATAGTGCTAAGGCTGAGAAACCCTTGGCTAAACATATGATATTGTCTATATTTGAAAATTTTGACCTATAAAAACACCCAGTGATTTCCCATGACTCATATTGAGTTTCAATAGATTTCAACTAAAGAGAGGGTTCTGAAGAATTTTTAAAATTTGCAAGCTATTAATCAAATCCAAACCCCTCCTTGCACAGATGGCAGCCACGTGGCCCAGAGAGGGTAAGGGGATTTCCCAAGGTCACAGGGCAGCAGTGCAGATCCAGACCTGAATGCAGACCCCCCTTCATCCCTAGGGACCCTCTCTGTCAACACAGAAGCCTGACCTCCATCGCAGGCTCATTTCTCCAACCACGGGAAATGGCTTCTTTCTCACTTACTGCTGTCATGCCCTGCCCCAGGAGAAGTTTCCCAGAGAGTTGTTTCCCATCACAAGCTTGGGATGATATTCATTCAGACTCAAAAGAAAATCTGTTTGCTTGAAAAGAAAGAAAATGGGAACAAAAGAACCTTATCTTCAAACAGCCATGCAAAGTAAGGCCAGCTGTAGGGAACTAAGACACACAACATTGATCAAGACAGAAGAGGCATGTGAGGAGTACATTGGGAAAGACAAGGCTTTCCTCTCGAGGAATAATAGCTCTGCCCCAATGGATAAGGAGCCTTTCACTCTAAAAGAATGAGCCCAGGGAATCCCATAATAAAGCTTGTGCAGGGACCTGAAAGAAAGGAGGGGAACTTGTCTTCCAGGAAAAATGAAATTGCAATGCCACAGCCACTTCCAGGGGCTGAAGACCCACAGCCTGCAGCAAAATTCTGCTTGTCAGGGCTGAGAAGGCCCCTGGTGATTGTCCAGAGGGAAAAAAGCAAGTGTGCCAAGCAGATTTGGGGTGAGGAACAAGAGTCGAGCTTGCTCTCACTCTGCAGCCAAAAGCCAGGGAAAGGTAGGCAGTTGGACCTGCCAACTTATACAGTATTCAACTCACTCACACTCCTTTTAGTATCAGGACACTTAAATCTCATCCACTCAGTACCTTGCCCAAGTTTCGTTCAAACACTTGTCTTTAAAGTGCACTTGGGAAGTGCTTATCCCATCCCACATCCTCACTGTGTGATAGGGAAACTGAAGCACAAAGAGGAAGGGGTTTGTGTGAGTCAGGGGGAGAGCTGCCCACCTCTCTCATACCTAGGCCAGGGGCCTCATATGGTTTGGCTGTGTCCCCACCCAAATCTCATCTTGAATTGTAGCCTCCCATAATTCCCACGTGTCATGGGAGGGGCCTGGGGGAAGGCAATTGAATCATGTGGGTGGGTCTTTCCCATGCTGTTCTCATGATAGTGACTAAGTCTCACAAGATCTGATGGTTTTATAAAGGGGAGTTCCCCTGCACACTCTCTCACCTGCTGCCATGTAAGACATGACTTTGCCATTTATTCGCCTTCTATCATGATTGTGAGGCCTCCCCAGCCATGCAGAACTGTGAGTCAATTAAACCTCTTTCCTTTATAAATTACCCAGGCTTGGGTATGTCTTCATTAGCAGTGTGAAAACAGACTAATACAGGCCCTTTCCCAGAAAGGAAGGGAAATAAAGCCAGCAAGCACATACCTTGGAGGCATCTTATTAAAAGATGTTTGTTTTGTTTTTAAAGCTTCACACTATAAAGTTAAAATAAAGCCCCTCAGCAAAAAATACACAAGGCTGCCCAACCATACAGTTTGGGAAGCAAATTCCCCATCCTGGCAAGAAAGCCTTCCCCTTACAAAATGTATCCAATCCTTGGCTCGGGCCTCTCCAGATTTTCTATTTATCGAGGGCGGCATTTATATTCCCTGGTGCACTGAGCACCAGCCATAGTGGAGGACTGGAATCACCTGCCAAGGCCTGAATTTCCCCAGCTTCCCCCTGACGGTTTCCATGGCAAACACTTACACCTCTCATTTTATATGTAGGATTTAGGCCAACCCAAGGGCTCTTGCAAATGTTTTTTCTGACCCCACTGGTGTTGTTCCTCTTTTCCTCTTATATATCAGTGGGTTTTATTTTAATTTCGAGGCTTACAATTACATTGCAGCTGTGCTGGGATTGTCTGTCTGTTAGCACGTGGTTTAGCAGCCAGCAGCAGCCAAAATTCCTCATCCTTGTTCCTTTCAACAGGGAAGGATCGCAGCCTTGGTGAGGACTGTAATGAGGCACAGGAGAATTTACCCTCAAACTAAATCCTTCCTCTTTGATCTCAGCCTTTTTGACTGTGCATTTGGCTGCTGAATACTGCTTTGATCCTTCTGCCGACAGCCACCAAAGATTTTCCATGTCCTCTCCTCTGTTTATAGAATGAAACAAACTTCATCCTCTGGCAGGCCAGGGCAGCCGGCAGCAGGGGATGAGAAATGCGAACATTTACTCTAATGATAACTGCATTTGAGGAGGCTGTGATCCATGGAGCATGGAATGGGTAGCAGAAATTTTCTTATGTGACAACTTCTGTCCAGTTTGGTCAAGTCCCAAGGATGGCCATCCCCACTCTCCCCCCACAAGTTATTACAATCCCCACAAGTTATTACTCATCCCCACAAGTTATTACAATCATTAACTTGTAGGCACCTAATAACATAGCTCCAGTGGGAAGAGATGGTGCAGTGTCTTCACTGTTTACCACTTCCTAACCATCAGGACTGACATCCTAAGGACCTGCCCGTGGGAGGGATGTGGGAGAGGAGACCACTTTGGATTCTTCTCCATGTCCTGACCTACATCCTGTGAAATCATTGTTTATTTACATTCTTCCCCAGAAGATACTCAGGATGGAGTAGTTATTCACGGCATCATTTGCAGCTGTCAGAGTCCTGAACCCAGGGAATTTTGAAGGAAACTCAGAAGACACAAAAGTGCAGTCCCTGTCAGATATAATCTTATGCCTCTTGATTTATATATAGGAAGACATGGGGGGCATCATCCGAATTTCTGTCTCACAGCTGTTGCTTGAGATGCCACCATTGGTGACTCCTTCCTTACAACACATGTGCCTGGAGAAGGATGTGGGGTAGTGAAGCTCAAGACCCTTAGATGAGGGGATGAGTTTGCCAGACTGGAGAAGCCAGGTCAATATGGAAATAGGAGAGATCAGAAGAAAGATAGGAGAGAGAGAGGAAAGAAAGACAGACAGTATAACGAAGAAGGGCAACAAAAACAAACTGCACACTTTATAATTCTGATGGGGGAATGGCCATTTCACCTCTACTAGGCATCAGTCTGAAATGAGATCCTTTTGGTTACAGAGTTCTAGACCAGGACTCGTTAGTCTAAAGGGATGCAGAGAAAAAAAAAAAGACACAGCTCATACATCCAAAGATACTGCCTTTGAGTTGGTGAGAAACAGGGCACTCCTGGTATGATGCTCACCAGTGCACCTGTGTGCAGGTGTCAACACGCTTTCTACACCAGACTATGAGATCCAAGGGGGCAGGAGCCATAACTGCCTCATAAAAGGACATGCCTAGCACAGTGCATGAAACCAGAAAGAGGTTCAAACAATATTTGTTTTTAACAAACTAGTTAATGAAGAAAAAAAGAAACAAAGGAATTGAGTACAGAATATTGTCACTGTGCAGTGATTTGGGGCAAGATATATGAGTTCTGGTCTTGTTTCTGCCATTATGAGTATTTTTGAGTGAGGAGACCTAGGCAAGTCACACCAACCTCTCTGGTCTTCAGTTTTCTCACTTGTAAAAAGGGGATTATCATTTTCCCAATCCACAGGGATATAATGGCAGTCCAACTGCTTAGTAAGCTCTCAGAGACTAATAAGGAAGAAATAAGAGAAATAGTAAAAATAAAAGACAGTGAGGGAGAAGCACTGCTGAGCAGTGTTATCAGGTGGGCTTCTCTGCAATTTTACTCTCTCAGCAGTTTGAGATCTTACTGGAGTCTTTCTAGCTCAGATCCTCTTTACAGACCTTTTACATCAGAAATTGCAAGACCTGGAAAATTAACTGGCTTAAAGCCATCAAAGAAATTGTCTAGTTGAGAGGGATTTAGATTGCAACTCTTCCCCTATGGTACAAAGCCCTGTGTTGTAAGGGGGGAAAAGGGAAATATTTACAACCAGATGGGGAAAACGTTGCAAGAAGTTATTACAATCATTAACTTGTAGGCACCTAATAACATAGCTTCAAAATACATAAAGCAAAGACTAACAGAAAAATAAGGAGAAATAGAAAACCGTATACTCACAGTGAGATGATTTTAACAACACAGCCCCTGCTAAATAGGGAAATCAGACTACACTTGGATGCTCCAGAGAAAGATTTTTCACGTCTGGGACTGAGGAAAATAAAAATAAAATGAGGAAAAGGAGATTCCTGGAATTTAATTTATCTGTAGAGATGAAGAATTGGCATGATCACGAAAGAGACCCAGTTCAACTCACTGTGGTTTCACCGGGATTTGGGGCCAAAGCCAAGGCTAGAAATGAAATATAATTGTGCTTGTGTTCTTTCTCTGTGAATCTCTTTCTACCTGCCCCTGTCAGGAAGGAGTACCAGGATGGGGGCAGAACTGAACTTAAGTGTAGAAATAGCCAGGATTTGATAGCAGAGGGAAAGAGAATTTGTGACTTCATAGAAAGTCTGAGAAGGCCAAAGGAAGGCAGATCATAAGCCACCAACTATAGATTCACTCCGAGATCCTAATTCCTCCACTCCTGGACCCCTCAGGGTCAAATCTCTACTACTATTACCACCACCTGACCAGTGATTACACAGGCACTGCATAAATATGTTATACTCGTTGTCTCTCTTAATCTTCACAAAACCTATTTCAAATGGGAAGTTTTTAATACTAGTTCCATTATAGAAAAAAGGAAACAAGCTCAGAAAAATTCAGTGATTTACCTATAGTAGCACAGCTAATAAGTGACAAAGTAAATCGTAAGTGGAGGAAATAGACCCACCTGGCACAGCATAATGGCACCAGACACTCATCTTTCTAGTCTCAGGTCGGGCCTCCCCTTACCACAAGCCAGGGGTCAGCACCCCATGTTTCTAATCCATACCTCCCCCTACATCAGTCTAGAAGACTGCAAGCAACACAGAGTGTCAACTTCTCTTGTTCTGTCCTGGATGCCCAACTCCTAGCGCTATGTCTCACCCAAAGAGAGTATCAGGATATTTTTATTAAATTGAATTGAATAGATTGACAAAAATCATCCAAAATCTACCACACCCAAGCTCTATCCATGCAAGTGGAGGCACATGGCTACTTGAGTCTCAAGTTTTATAAATTTTCTTTCCAAACAGGTTGCTACATGTGCCAGCAGCCCAGGGCAAGATGTTCTTCTCCCCAGACTTCTTACAGCAGCAAAGTCCTGCCCTCCCCATCCATTATGTTTCCCAGGCTCTGCATCCAGGCTTTATCACACAGACAACTTCCTATGCAGACTAAGCATGGATGGTTTCCACAGTGAGGGGAGTTTCATGGCTAGGGGTCCTCTGCTTCCCAGTTGCTTTTCTCCTTTTATCCACGTTATCCTGGCACTCCCCAGAATATCTTTAAATCTGATTTTTTTTTTTTTTTTGAGATGGAGTCTCGCTCTGTCACCCAGGCTGGAGTTCAGTGGCTCAATCTCGGCTCACTGCAACCTCCGCCCCCCAAGTTCAAACAATTCTCCTGCCTCAGCCTCCTGAGTAGCTGGGATTACAGGCATGTACCACCATGCCCGGCTAACTTTTGTATTTTTAGGAGAAATGGGGTTTTACCATGTTGGTCAGGCTCGAACTCCTGACCTCGTGATCCGCCTGCCTCAGCCTCCCAAAGTGCTAGGATTACAGGCATGAGCCACCGTGCCTGGCCCTAAATCTGATTTTTAACGTGACTCTTCCTCCCACGCCCAGAGCAAGCCCCAGTTTCCCCAGGAAAACTCTGTCCTGGTTCCTCTGAGCTCTGCAAAGCACACAGATAAAGTTGGGCCTTAGCATCAAGTTGCTGACGCAAAGTCCTCGTGATTACAAAACTATACGCGCAATGGAGAACAAAGAATACAATGATTAATTGAGAAGTGGGAGGAAAAGGATGCTTTTATTTTTTTAATCGCCTAGGAAATCTTTGGACACTTTAGACAAGCCATGTCATTTGATCATCACAACAACACTCCCAGGAAGTATTACTGTCCCCACATCACCTATAAGAACAATAAGACTCAGAGAAGTTAAGCTCCTTGTGCAAATCCACAGAGAGAGAAAGTGACAGACAGGATTTGAATTCAGGTCTGTCCATCCCCAGGGACCTGCAGCCTCAAACTGGACAAGCAGTACATCCTAAGGAGTCTGTTACAGACGATCAACTCTGGTGTCCCTCCAAGGTGCACACATTCCCTGGTAACCAGAAAGACACTTAGGCTTAAACAAGACAACGTCTGACTGAGATCGTCCCTGTTTCCTGGTGAGAGCATTTGAGGAGACGGGTGTTGATTGATGCGGTTTGTAATAATACTCATTTTTCTGCAATTACTCCTTGAATTCCAGCCAAAGTGGGCCACACGGAGCTGCAGCTGTACGAGATGTCTGGATTCTCCCAGTCAGCAAAGAGTTGGGAACAGGGTGGTCACAGAGGAGCCAAGCCAGGGCAGAAAGATGTCTCCATTCAGTGAATACTTATTGAATCCTTGCTCTGCACCAGATCTTGAAGGGAGGGAGGAAAAAGCCTTGAAGCTGACAATGTATTTCCTTCATGTCAATTAAATGTTTATTTAAAAGAGTGCAAAAATAGAAAAAGGGTGGTTTCTTCCTTTGAGGGAAGCCACGGGCACGTGAATGAACACCAGCAGTATGATGTGCTGGGTACCAGAATTGGAGTGTGCTGGGGAGTCCCAAGAGAGGGGCTTCCCAGGGGAGCTGGAGAAGACTTTTCAGAAGAGATATTTTTAAGACAGACCTTGCAGGCAGGTCTTATGCACCTGCTCAGAAGGTAGGTAAGAAGCTGAGAGGTAGACAGGAGGACCACCTTGGCTAAAAGCTGCGAGTCCTGAGCCAGCATGGTGTGCTTGAGGCACAGCAAGAAGTTCTGGGTCAGATGAATCGACAGTCCCACCTCATGCTAGCTGAGAGACCTCAGGCAAGTTTGTTTCTCTGTGCCTCAGTTTCCTCTTTCATGAAATGGAGAGGAATAGTCTCTGCCCATAGGGTTGTTGTAAAGATTAAAAAGTTATTACACATCTTATGCTCAAAACAGTTCCTGGCATAGATAGGTGCTCAATTAAGCTAGTTAATTTTATTTGGTGATGATGATGATGACGATGATAAGATACTAATGAGAAATAAGAACAGGACTTTAGGCCAAGGCCAAGTGATTGAGAGCTTCAGGTGCTATGGGAAGGAATGAGAAACTTCATCCCATGGGCAATAAGGGACTCTCTGTTTCTGAACGAAACTCCAGCAGACAGAAGGGCACTGGACTTGATGCAAAGGAGTCAGCTCCTCAGCATCAGCCATGTTTTGTCAGAAGGGACAAAGGATCCAGCTCCTGCATCATCAGCCATGCTTTGTCAGAAAGGGAAATAGACTTCCACGTTCATGAAGCCACTGTATAGTGAGGATTCTCTGCAGCTTAGCTTTCTCCCTAACTAATTTAATTGCCAAGTGCTATGCATATGAAAGGTTTTGGGTTTATTCGGTGCCTCCAAGCTCCCAGACTCCGTGTGATACTCATAGAGGTTATGTTGTGGTTGAGGAGACAAAGTTAATGCTAAGAAACAGAAGTGTCTCAAAAAAGCATGCAATCAAATGGTTCATCGTGGTTCTGGGGCTCAGGGAGCACGTGACATAGGCCCTCAGGGAAGGGGCAGATAAGTGTGGACCAGCATAGTCAGAGAGGGCACCCTCATTATTCTCAGGTGAGCCCCCCACAGCAGGTGGCAAGGCCAACTCATTCATCTCAGGCTTCTTGGGGGAGGGTGCGAAGAGATGAGCTCGACCTGACAGGACAAGTCTCCTCACCACCAAGCCCCTGTCACTGTCCCTTCTTGTGACTGATGAGCGGGTCTGTGGAATTAATGAGGAAATCTCCAGGGCTCCTGGGAATTGAGATGCATGGCAGGTCTGCTCCACAGGAAACTGCCCATCTTCCCTCTTTCTGTCCCACTCACTGGATCCCTCCATTCCTACTCATCCCTCTCAAAACTGTTAGAAAATGGATATGGATATGCCACTGTCCCCAGAAGCCCTCCTAAGCTATCAGAGTATGCTCTGACTTACTATTCTCTTGTCTGGCCTCGGTATTGAAGAACCATCTCCTCCTTCCCCTGCCCTGTCTGATTCTTTATCAATTTGCTCCCCTCTAGCCCCCATCCATGCAGCCCTTAAATCAGCCTAACTCTCCAGCTTCATTTCTACTCCTTCACATCTTGGGGCCTCTGATTTCTTCACTCTTCCCCCTTGAACACCAGAGCCTCCTCTTCCTGTTCCTCTTATCCTGCCCAGTCCCATCTGTCAGCATCCCACTGCAGGCTTCTTGTCCTATAGTGTCTTCTCAGTTTTGTTGTTGTTTGTTTGTTTGTTTGTTTGTTTGTTTTTGAGATGGAGTTTCGCTCTTGTTGCCCAGGCTGGAGTGCAATGGTTGCAATCTTGGCTCACCGCAACCTCCACTTCCTGGGTTCAAGGGATTCTCCTGCCTCAGCCTCCCAAGTAGCTGGGATTAGAGGCATGAGCCACCATGCCCGGCTAATTTTGTATTTTTCGTAGAGACAGGGTTTCTCCATGTTGGTCAAACTGGTCTCGAACTCCTGACCTCACGTGATCCGCCCACCTTGGCCTCCCTAAGTGCTGGGATTACAAGCGTGAACCACCACGCCTGGCCCCCATAGTTCTTCTCTAACTGTGATAGTCCACACTAATCTTTCCCTTCTTGCTACCTGTATGTTTGAGGTGACCTGCAATTCCCGCAGTTTAGTTCATCTTATGTCTTGTATTGGCCATAAGTACCTTGACTTGTAGGCCTGATTCCCCAAATAGGTTGGGTGCCCCGTGGAGGCCTCTCTACTTTTCCACCTGCAGTGGACATGGTCACTTAGTACCAGCTCCAGAGTGGCTCCCCTTCTCAGGGGCTGAGGGCTGAACCCTTCTTCCTCCTTTCTCTCCATTCCAGACAAAAATTCCCCAAAAAGAACAAAGGAAGTTGTTCATATTTTCTCTAAAAGAATAAAATGCAGAGAGAATCTACAACAGGGAACGAATGCTCCACACTTGTAGACATGAGGAGTGGAGAGAAGTGATGGGATTTGTAACAAGCCCACAAAAGGGCAATTTTCATTTGCCTTCGTTTGGGTCAAGGCTGTACAGCCTCCTTACCTCTGAGAGACACTGCCCTCCACTTTCCCTCCAGAGCTGGGAGGACTGGGAACTTGGGAAGCCAGGGTGAATTTTCTCATTCCTTTCCACTTTTCCTCAATTCATTGTTGAGGAAATGGAGGGCTAGAGTCTTTCCTGCACCCTCTTTCCCACTGAAATTGGACACAGAATGAGGATAAAAGTTAATCTGCTAACTTCAACCCACTCCTCACATTCATCAGCAAAACCAGACTGTGCCTAGATGTCAAAACAAATCAAACCAAAAGCAAAGCAGGAATGACTGCAGTTAGACACCAAGGAGAACTGTGTTCTACATTGGGGTAGAACACAGAGAGGTGGCAGAGAGGAGCCATAGATATTTGAAGGAAAGGGAAAGGCTTTAATTACCATGGATTGAGCATGTGAGTGCGTGCGCACGTGCACACACACACACACACACACACACACACACACACACATGTCTGGAGGCAGAGGAACCTGATCTCACCCTCTCTTGAGTTCTGAGCTACCATGAATAAGAAAAAGGGGCCAGTGGCTAAAGTGAATGGCCCACAGGTGAACGGCAGAAGATCTGAGGTCTGTGGCCCCACCTAGCTCTATGTCCGCTGCACTGGCTGCCTGGGAAAGTTAGGAAATCTGAATTTTGGTTACCTCTGCTGGCCTTGGACAAGTTCATTCCCTTCTCTGGGCTTCATGCCTCCATCCTCAAAATGAGGGATCTGGACCAGATGGTCCCTAAGGAGCCCCCAGCCCTGCCTTCCAAGATGGTGTGAGTGCTTACTGTCTGCTGAGCCTGTTAGACACATTGCCTGCATGAGTGCCCAGCCTGAGTTGGTCATCCAGCCCCAGAGTTCACTCCAGGACATTCACCTCTGCTCCCTGAGTGCTGGGCAGGCCTCAGCCTCAGTGAGCCCGACATGCCATTTGGACACTGGCAATATCAGATGTGTGAGAAGGGGCACCTGCCATTAGACTCCCTATCTCAGGACACAGAGAGCAATGGCGATGTGCCCTGTGGCCACACCCCCTCCTCCAGGTCACTCCTAGCTAAGAGGAATCCTGCAGCCCACTCTTCTAAGTGCACCATGCAGCCACCTCCAACAGCCACTGGCCTGAGTCCACTCTGCCATCAAAGAAGCCAAGGTAGCTGCTTACCCCACACCTGACAGAAGGCGCTATTCCATGGTTCAGCAAGGATGCCCTTCACCCCAGCTCTCCCAGTCCTCTCCAGCAGATAAAGAACAGCTTCAGTCCACCTCTTCCAGGAAGCCTTCTCTGATTATGCTGGTCCACACTCATCTACCCCTTTCCTGAGGGCCTGTGCCACTTGCTCCCTGAGCCCCAGAAACACCATTAACCATTTGATTGCACACTCTTTTGAGACGCTGCTGCTTCTTAGCATTAACCTCGTCTCCTCAATCACAACGTAAACTCCGTGAGTACCACATAAAGCCCAGGATCTTGGAGGGACTGAATAAAACCTAAACCTTCCATATGCACGCACTTGGCAATTAAATTAATTAGGGGGAAAGCTAAGCTGCAGAAAATCCTCAATGTACAGATTTTCAAGAGCATGGAAGTCTATTTCTCTTTCTGGCAAAGCATGGCTGATGCTGCAGGAGCTATGCCTACATCCCCTCGGTGCCCCATACCATTTCTGTACCCTCTGGCCCAGCTGCCCATGGCCAGCACTTGCATCTTTGCCCTTGGGCTGCCAACATTCACTCTGCTCACAGCATGTGGAAGACTGGAGGTACCAGGGTCTGATGGGTGTCAGGATAAAACTGCCCCTGCTTCCTCACTCCCTGGCCTGCCCTAAAGCCTGTCTCACACGATTTCCCAGATCCTCCCTATGGGATTAAGCTCTTGTCATCCACACTGTGGCTGCTTTTCCTTCTCTTTGTCCCCTCCCCACTCATCTGCCAGTGCTCCTGCCTCCCAAGCAAACTAATTCACTCAGTCCTCTTTTTAGTGCATGAACTGTACTAAGACAAGAGTGGCCCCAGGTCCCTTCCATCTTGTTGCTCTGCCCCAGCCCCCACATGTCCTCCTGCTCTGCATGGTGAAACTGTGTCCCAGGTATATCTGTGCTCCCGCTTACAGACAGGAAAACAGAAGATACTCAGGGAAGCAATTTTCCTGTAAGTGAGTGAAGTAGAAGCTGCCCCCATCCCTTCCTTTCATATGCCTTTGGTGAGAATTTAGCTACAAGGGAGGCTGGAAACACGCCCAGTTTAAAATCTATTAATAAGGACAAGAAGAAACGATCGTGGTGGACAACATACAGTCTCTGCTACAGAACTTGAATAATACTCACCCATTTATTGTGCTCCAAAATATGCCAAAACAAAGGTGCATGTCTTTCATGTGCTGCTTTGTTTAATTCTCACAACACAACAGAAGTGTTACTACTACTGTTTGCAGATAAAGAGATGAAGGCACTGAGAATTTCAGTATCCTACCTGAAGTATCATATGAGCAAACCCAGATCTGGCTTATGGGTTTTCTATTCTGCGCTTATTCTGTTTTTTATTCCCATAAATGTATTTTATCTGGTGCAGTATCCCTACTTGGAAGGTGACAGAAAGGTGGGGCCAGGAAAGGGAAGAGACTGACCCAACTCACATAGAGAGCAAAACGCAGAACTGGGCCAGAATCCAGGGTCCTGGCCACTGACCTGCTGCTTTGTCTATGAAGCCTCCTCTGAGCCAGCTACCTCCAAACAGCTCCTGCCCAGACCCAGACCAGTGCCTATGGGGCTGCCAGGGAGAGGGATGTGTATTCTTTGGTCTAGTTGAATTCAGAGCCCCCATCTTAGACCACAGTTGCATCTGAAGTTTCTAAATAGAAAATCTACCAAGCAAGGTGACAGTGATGGCCCAGTGTCCCTTGTTACCTGTGCAGCATCCAATGCTGTCAGCTCACAGGCCTTGTATCAACTCCCCGCCCCTCCCAGAAGTAGAGGAACATGTATTCTCATGGGCCTGACTGTCGGCATGCAGGCATCAGACAGGGAAGCAGGATTGGGCCACCAGGGTCCCCAGATCCTCCATGAAGTCATCTTCTCGCTGTCGTCAGTGTCAGTTGCCTAGCAACTGCCTTTGGCAGATGGTGGCACTGAGTGCATGCCAGTCTCTCCCATGGCTAAAAATACATTCCGACGACAACAGGTCTATTTTAAAAGATACAATGCGCTCCCAGCGTCTTTCCTTGTCTGTGAGGAGCTGTGCTGTGCCGGGTCTCTCTGGGCTTCTGATTTTGTCTGCTAGGGCGGAAGGGAGCATTCGAGGAAAAAAACAAAGGCCAGGCACCAAGGGGGTGCTCAGAAAGTTGTCATGGAGGAGAAGGAGGAGGAGGACGAGGAGGAGGAATAGGAAAAGGAGGCAGAGGAGGAAGAGAAAGAGGAGAAGGAGAATGAGATGGATGAGGACATGGAGGAGGAGGAGAAGGAGGAAGACAAGGAGGAGGAGGAAGAGGAGGAAGAGAAGGAGCAGGGAAAAGACCAGGAGGAGGGAGAAGAAATAGCGACCTGGGAAGTAAATGTGTAGTGTTCAACAGCAAATCCTCTACTTTGGCTATATTCTTTACCTGCTGGAGTGTGGGGTTAAGGAAGAAAAATCACAGACTCACAGACGCCTAGAACTGGAAGAGACACAATCCCATTTCACTGTTGAGAAAACAGAGGCCCTGAGAGGTGAAGACAAAAAGGGCTCTTTGCCATTGTTCAGTGTGCAAGAACTGAGCCCCCAGGTGTGGGCATGAGGTCACAGACCTCCAGCTCCTCTTGCCTACCCACAGGCAGTTTTATCACCCAGCACCTTGTAACTGCCCTGGGTTCACCTTGCCGGCTGCCTAGACAGAGCAGATTTATCAAGACAGGGGAATTGCAATGGAGAAAGAGTAATTCATGCAGAGCTGGTTGTGCGGGAGACCGGAATTTTATTATTACTCAAATCAGTTTCCCCGAGCATTCAGGGATCAGAGTTTTTCAGATAATTTGGCAGGTAGAAGCTTGGGAAGTGGGGAGTGCTGATTGGTCAGGCTGGAAATGGAATCATAGGGGGGTCGAAGTGAGTTTTTCTTGCTGTCTGAAGTGAGTTTTTCTTGCTGTCTTCTGTTCCTGGGTGCAATGGCAGAACTGGTTGAGCCAGATTGCCGGTCTGGGTGGTGTCAGCTGATCCATGGAGTGCAGGGTCTGCAAAATATCTCAAGCACTGGTCTTAGGGTTTACAGTAGTGATGTCATCCCCAGGAGCAATTTGGGGAGGTTCAGGCTCTTGGAGCCAGAGGCTGCATGACCCCTGAACTGTAATTTGTAATCTGTAGCTGATCTGTTAGTCCTGCAAAAGCAGACTGGTCCCCAGGCAAGAAGAGGGTCTTTTCGGGAAAGGGCTATTATCTATTTTGTTTCAGAGTCAAACCATGAACTGAATCCCTTCCCAAAGTTAGTTCAGCCTATGCCCAGGAATGAACAAGGACAGCTTAAAGGTTAGAAGCAAGATGGAGTCAGTTAGATCTGATTTCTTTCACTGTTATAATTTCCTCAGTTATAAATTTGCAAAGGCAGTTTCAACCTCGCCAACTCAGTCTTTCTGTTTAATCACCATCATCTGCAGCCTTCCCTGGTACAAAGAGAGTATCAAGTCCCTTCATGAATGCATTTAGTCATTCATTTATTTAACAAATATTTATTAAGCATCTACTGCCATATGGTGCCAGGCCTTGGAGATACAGCAGGAAACAAATCCACACTGTTCCCACGTCATGTTGCCTGCAGCTCACTAGGTGAGGCAGGCAGTGAGCTGGCAAGCACAGGGTGCCCTGTGCTGCAGAAATCAGAGTCAGATCCACATCCGGGCCTACTTACTAGCTCTGCAGCCACAGACTTACCACTTAATCAGGGCTGCAAGATAAAATACAGGAGGTCCAGTTAAATGTGAATTTCTAGTAAATTACAATATTTAAAAATATAAGTATGTCTCCAGTATTGTATTACCTAAAGTTCAACTTTTACAGGGCCTCCTATATTTTTATTTGCAAAATCTGGCAACCCTACCCTTAATATCACTTTTGTTCAGTTTCCTCACCTATAAAATGGGGAAAATAGTATCTACTTACAGATAATCTCTTTGCATTAAATGAAAATATGTATATATCTGTGACTGGCAGGTAAATGTCACTTTCTCCCCTCTTCAAGAAGGACTTAACCAGGGGGGTTGGCCTGGCAAATGATGTGTCTGACCCATTGGTTCAAAAATCAGGATTTTGTGTTAGCCCAGCTGTCTCCCCATGGTCTGGTAGTAGGTGGTGGGTGGGGGTAACTCTGCTGTATCCTGAGGCTACGCCAGGGGATGAAGGAAATCTAAAGTTGACACCTGACTTAGAAAGAAACCAGGAACCAACCAGTTCTCTGGGAGTATGTGTCTGGCTGGGGATGCTTGCTAAGGACACCCAGGGTTCTATCTAAGACTCACTGCATCAGAATGTCTAGGGAAGGACATGCCCTTTAAACGAAATCCCTGATAACTTTCTGGACTCTAACGTTTGAGAATTGCTGGTCTGGGGAGCAGGGAGGAATTGCTGTCCCTGGAGAGGCACGATCCCAAAGGGCTGCTTTAGAATGTGGGATCCTGGCCTGGATCCTGGAACAGAAAAAGGACACTAGTGGGAAACTGGGTGAAATCGGAAAAACGTCAGCAGTTTAGTTAATGGTATTGTACCCTCGTTAATTTTTTAGTTTTGACCCTTGTGCTGTGGTTACATAAGATGTTAACATTAGGGAAAGCTCAGTGACGGGCATATGGGAACTCTGTGCTATTATCACTACTCTTGTGTAAATCTCAAATTAGTTCTAAATAAAAAGTTGTTTTTTTTTTTTCTTTTAAGCTTCCTTTGGCTCAAAGCCTGCATTGGGCCTTTCCCCAGTCCCATTGTGCATCAGAGACCAGTCTGTGTGTTGATATTACTCCAGGCTGGAATTAGTTAAGCAAGTGCAGGTAGCCACCCCCACCCCCAAACACACACCAGGTACCGGGAGAGCATTTGCTTCTCCTCATTGCCATTCACACTGGGGCTTAAATGTCAGCCCCAATGAATTACATTTTAATCTGTCTAAGTGATCAACCTGGCCAAGGCCCTAATTGGATGCCAGGCACACCCGCTGAATGACATGCATAATTCATCAGCTGGGAGGCTGCAGAAGGGCTTTCATCCTGGGCCAGGGAAGCGGGAGGAAAAGAAGGAGGGAAAGGAGAGAAAAGAGCAGTGGAAGGGGGTGGAGAAGGGAGGAGAGAGAAAAGAAAGGGGGAGGACAAGGGAGATAACTGGAAGGAGAAAGGTGAGATGTTTGGGGAGGGGAAAAGCTGGACAGTGGGAAACTTGGAAGGGAAGAGTTGGAGGAGAAATAGCAGGTGGGGTTGGAGGGGAGGGCAGGAAGAGGCCTGGAATATCTGATCATTGTGCTAACAACAAGGTCTTTAAGCTCCGCTAGAGGCCACCTCCTCCAGGAAGTCTTCATTCACTCCCCCAGGCGACCTTGGGCCCTCCTTCTCTCTCTCCCTTAATGCCAGGATGTACCTCTGTTTCACTTTGACTACTCACAGGTCCTATAATGTTTATGAAATCATCTGTCCCTCTCCAGACCCTGGATTCTCTCCCGTTTGCATGATGTCTGACTTGATGATGGATCACCATGGCCTGGCAGAGTCCCTGTGCAAAGCATTGAATGGCTGAAGGATAGATCTCTAGTTCAGACAATACAAAGAAACTATCTTAACATCACTATCCAATGGGTTCTTCTTGCTCACCACACAGACAAAACCAGACAGTGGCATTGCAATAAAGAAACAGTTTAATAGACACAAGACCAGCCACACCATATGGCAGACAGAAGTATTACTCAAATCAATCTCCGAAAACTCAGAGGCTAGGGTTTTTCAATGGTTGTTTGGCAAGCCAGGGATTCTACTTCTGGGTGGGGGCCACAGGACCAGTTGGGTCAGGGCAGGTCCAGGTACAGCCATTGGTACTCAGAAATGCAAACACCTGAAAAGACATATCAAATGGCCAATCTTAGGATCTAAGGTAGCGATGTTATCTGCAGGAGTAATTGGGAAAGCTACATATCTTGTGACTCCTGGAATAATGACTGGTAATGGTTTATGTCTACACCCTAGCAGAATTCAGCCTCCTCACATCCTCTTAACCTGGTGGCCTTTCATTAGCTTTACAAAGGTGGTTGAGTTTTGGAGAAAGCCTATTATCATTTATACTATAAACTATTTCCCAAAGTTAGCTTGGACTAAGCCCAGGAATGAGTGAAGACAGCCAGCCTATGAGGCTAGAAGCAAGATGGAGTCAGCCATGTCAGATTTATCTTATTATCATAATTTTGCAAAAGCGATTTCATTAACTAATTAACCCAAATAGGATTTAAACCACATGAGCCCCCTGGCTCTGCCATCAAACTTGCTTCAGCTATGGCAGTCAAGTTCCCTAACACCACCCTCTACTCAGCCCTAACCTCTGTCTTCCTCTCCTGCCTCCCATTTCCAGAGACCAAGAACCACACAGGAAAGTAAACACAGCTTTAGTGGAAATGAAAGGGAAAGTCCATATTTCTTTGGACACACCTCCTGCTGCCTAGTCAGGAACACAATCACTTCCCTGCTCCCTGCTTTCCCCAGTCCTCTCCAACAGGCCTTCTCTTCCACTCCAGCTGCTGGTCCAGGTTGCCAATCAACTCCCTGTGGTCAAAGTCAGTGACATCTTCTCAGAGGTATTCACCTTAACTGAACTCACAGCAGCATAGACTTCTCTCCTTGACACAATTTTCTCCTGACTCCTGACACCACACCCTTCTGCTCTCCCTCCTTCCACCTTGGCATCTTTATGCCCATTCACTCTGCTAAATTTCCCTTGTTTGGCCAAACCTTGAAGGCAGGCAACCCCCAAGGCTCACTCCTCAGAGCTCTGCTCTCCTCTGATCACTGTTCTTACTTTAATCATCTTATCCAGTTCCATGGTTTTAAGTGCCATCAAATACTAATGGTTGCTAAACACTTACTCCACCTTTGACCTCTCCCTTAAGCTCCAAGCACAAATATTCATTTGAATGTCTGTACTAGTTACCTATTGCTGCCTCACAAATTACCCCCTAAATTTAGTGGTTTAAAACAATGAATACTTTTTATGTCACATTTTCTGTAAGTGAGAAATCTAGTGCCACTTATCTGGGTGCTTCTAACTGAGGTTCTCTCATAAGATTATGGTCATGCTGTTGGCTGGAGCTGCAGTCTCATCTGAAGGTGTAACCAAGGGAAACTTTGCTTCCAAACTCACCCATGTGGTTGTTGGCAGGGTTCTGTTCCTGGTAGGTCATTGGACCAGGGGTCTCAGTTCCTCACTGGCCATTGGCCAAATGCCTTCTACAGATCCTTGCCATGTAGGCATCTCAGGCAGCTAACAGAGGGGCAACTGGCTTGCTTCAGGGCAAGGGAATGAGAGAACAAGAAAGAGTACCCAAAACAGAAGCCATGGTTGTAAGCTCATCTCAGGTTCCATCACCTCTGCCAAATTCTGCTTGCTAGAAGTGAGTCATTAAATCCAGCCCACACTCAAGGATAGCGAATTACAGAGGGCATGAACAGCAGGACACAGGGGTCACTGAGGCCATCTTAAACATACATATAAAATGAAGTATGTCCACAACAGAATTGATTTTCCCCATCCCAAACTTCTCCCTCAAGTTTTTCCTATCTTAAGAAATAATGTAGCAGCATTGTCATAATTGTGCTGTCAACTGGATAAGTTGAAACTGTAGCTCTCAGAATCCCCCTATTGCATGGTTCTGGGAGAGAATTGGCCAAAATAGGAACTTGCACAAGATTTGGAAAGTAGGAAGTGAAGCAGCAGTCAGCATCCTTGAAAGTTCATCATAGTCAGATATGCTGATGGGCAGGCACAGAGGTACCTGGAGTATCTCTGCTTGACCCCATGCTCTTCTATTTTGTGTCCAGCTTGTCTTTCTAATGGTAGGTCTCGCTGACCAACATCTACCCAAGGCTCACCTCCAGAGGCATGGCTGCAGGCCCAGAGAGGTACAAACTGCACAGAGGCAGCAGTATCCCATCACCCTCTACATGAGCTCTTCTCATGGCCTCCCCTTGGTGGCTGGATGTGCTGGGTTTCTTGAATATGTCCAACTACTGTTCCAACTATAATAAATCCGTCATTCCATAATAATCATAATGCTGGCTCCCTCTTATCTCAATTGAAATATCTCTTCCCCAGAGAGGCCTTTCCTGGATTTACCTCCCTGCCTATGTTCTATTCTTCCCATACCATTAGATTCTGAAAGAAATAATCATCACTAATCCTTACCAACTTCTTATCATTTCCCACATATGGCACTATATACTTTAACTATGCCATCGCAGATCATTGTAACATCATTCTTGTAATAAAGGGTGTGACTATTCCTATTTTCAATGGGGAAAAGAAGGCAAAAAGAGGTGAAGTTATTTGCCCAGGAGCTTACAGATAAGCAAGCAAATTGATGGTAAGAAGGGGATCTGAAACCACTTCTGCCTGACTTCTAACACATTCTCTCCATCACATTATAATGCTTCCCCATGTCTGAATCTGGAGTTGGGAGTTTCTTAGCCTCTCAATCTCAAGGTCTTCATTTGTAAACTACAGGCACCTCATAGAATGATCATGAGCATTCATGGTTCTTAGCAAACTTTTATCCCTTCCCACTTCCCCACCCCTACAAATCTCAAAATCCAGGGTGAGTATCTCTACCAGGGTGGGTCTTCAGAGTGTAATCAAGGTCTGAGCAGAGGATCTATGGGTCTATCCCATCTTATGGGGCAGATTTCATCCTGGAGCCTTGGAAGCATCCTACAGGACCCCCTATCTACCCCACTCCATCTCTAATCGGCTGAGACCCAACTCTCAGCCACATAGAGTCAGTCACAGAAGGCTGAGGGCTGGGCACCAAGCCTTCTGCTGGGCAATGAGTCCCTGAACAGGCTGAGTCGCCCCAGGGCACAGGCCTCCCTTCCTTCATGGCCTTCACCAGCTTTTTGTGTCAGGCCCTCAAGGCTTACGTGAAACTCTTCTGAGCTTTGTGCAACATATGAAGACATATAGTCAGAGAAACAGACTCATAATTTGTCAGGTCAAAGGGCTATGGAGAAGCTAGAGTCACTTGGGTGCCACTGTGATTAGTTTCACGTCCATTGCCTGCTGGTTAAAGCCTGAGGTCTTCGCCTACCACCCAGGGCCCTCTGGAATCTGTCTTTAGCCAGGATTCCCTACCCAAATGATTTTATCTTCGCTTTCCTCAGGAAGTATGGACTCTTTTGCTCCTACGACTCTCAGCCCAGAACCCTGCACCCTCCTGGTGACCTCCCTTTGTCTCTTTACCTGCTTTCTACCCTTGTTCAAAGGTACACGTCAAAGCCACTAGCCACATACTGATGAAACAACCTTTGTGAATGATTTTCTTTTAAGATTTAGAAAAATCTAGAAAAATCACTACTTTTAAAAAATCAATTTATACATTCCAAAAATGTTTTCCCATCTGTTGTCTCATTTTATCTACCAAAAATTATTAGGTGAGTTGGACATAAACCAACCCAACTGTAGAATTGTGGAAATAATCATAGCTGGCACATTTGAGCTCCTTCTTTTTGCCCGGCAGTGTGCCAGGCACTTTCCATGAGTTAAATACAGTGTGTCCTTCCAGGAGTCCTGAAAGGCAGCTATAGTTATTATCCCTATTCTCCAGAAGAGAAAACTGAGGTTCAGAAATATTTAAGAATGCGTGAGTCTTCCAGTTCCCAAATGGTAGCATAGAAGCAAGCTAGTTTCACATACTTCCACCACCCTTCCCCCACCAGCAGGATACAAAAAACAAATATAAGTGCCAAGATTATCATCAGAAATAACCCAGCAGTCAAAGATGAGGATGAGATAGTTTTGGGGGCTGCAGAGACGTGAAAAAACTCCGAGAAGGCAGTAAAAGAACTGGACTCTCACATCCACGATGCCCCTCCCCTCATTCTGCCCAGCACCAAGTATGCAGAAAATTGTTCTCCAACTCACTGTTTCTACACTGCAAAAGGTGAGATTGAGAAGAGCAACCAACTTCTCCACCATCTTGGGTTCTCTGACAGGAGACCTCTCCTTACCTTAACTCACAGAAAGCATCACAAGTGACTGAAAGGAGAACCATCCCTGATGTGAGGCAGACAAAAAGGGGAGGCAAGACCTACAGCAGCATCACACTGCAGGAGGTTTGTCCCACAGGTCTTCTGGGAATGAATCCCTAGCCAGCTGTCTCACACTGCTGAGGTTTCCCCTTTGAGACCCCCCCATTCAGAAAGGGCACTGCTTAGATCATTTATTAGAAGGACGGCGAACCTGGGCTTAAAGCGCTACCTAGAGTTGAAAATGAGTCAATTACCTAGTGGTGAAGAATCTCTAAACAAATACATCCAATAAAAAACAAAAGAAGCCAGCCAGGGAAGACAGAAACAAATAATCCTTCAATGCAAAGACATAAACATACATCCATTAGAAGCAACTGCAAACAGGGAACCATGATCTTCTCAAATGGACAAAGCAAGGAACCAGTGACTGACCCTAACGAGATGGTGGTATGTTATCTCTTTCACCAAGAATTCAAAATAGTAGTTTTAAGGAAACTCAGTGATCTCCAAGATAAAACAGAAAAACAATTCAGAAATTTACCACAGAAACTTAACAAAGACTGAAATAATTTTAAAAATCAAACCAAAATCTTGGAACTGAGAAATATTTTTACTGAACTGAAAAATTCATTAGAAGCTCTTCTCAACAACAGAATGGATCAAGCAAAGGAAAGATCAGTGAGCTTGAAGATAGGCTTTTGAAAATACACACTCAGAGAAGAAAAAAAGAATGAAAAGCAATGAAGATTATCTACAAGATGTAAAAAGTTACCTCAAAAGGCCAAATCTGAGAATTATTGTTGTTCAAAGAGAGTTCAACAAGAATGAGAGATAAAAAGCTTTACTCAAAGAGAAAAAACTTCCCCAAATTTGAGAAAGAGATAAATATCTAGGTATAGGAAGGTCAGAGAATTCCAAAAAGATCTGACCCGAGTGAGACTAGTCCACGGCATATAATAATCAAACTCTCAAAGGTCAAGGACAAAGAGAAGATCCTAAAAACAACAAGAGAAAAGAAGTAAATATTACACAAAGGAGCCTCAATTTGTCTAGCAACAGACTTCTCAATGGAAATCATACAGGCCAGGAGGAAATGGAATTATACTTTCAAAGTGCTGAAAGAAAAAAAACTGTCACTCAAAATTACTACATTCAGCAAAGCTATTCTTCAAATATGAAGGAGAGATAAAGTCTTTCCCAGACAACCAAAAGCTGAGAGAATTCACTACCACCAGACCCATCAGACAAGAAGTGCTAAGAGAAGTTCTTCAATCTGAAAGAAAAAAAAAAAAAAAAACCATTGAAGTGCAAAAAAAAAAAATTGAAGGCATAAAACTTACTGGTAAAATTAAGTATACAAACCCAGGATACTCTAATACTGTAATTATGGTGTGCAATCCACTCATAACTCTAGTATGGAGGCCAAAAGACAAATATATCAAAACAATAATAGCTACAGCAAACTGTTAAGAAATGGGTAATATAAAAATATGTAAGTTGAGACAAATAAAAGTCAAAATGGGAGAGGAAGTGGAGTTAAAGTGTAGGTTTTTAAAATTATTTTTGTTTCTATTCTTTTCTTGGTGATCTAAGATAAGTTATCATGTCCTTATAATAACTTGTTATATCTATAAGATATTTTTTGTAAGCCTCATGGTAACCACAATGTAAAAACTTATAATAGACTCACTAAAAATAAAAAGCAATGAATTAAAACATACTACCAGAGAAAATCACTTAACCACAAAGAAAGACAGGAAGAAAGGAAGAGAAGAGTTACAAAGCAACCAGAAAACAAACAACAAAATGTCAATAGTAAGCCCTTACTTAATAATAACACTGAATGTTATCACTAAATGTAAGTGAACTCAATTCCCCAATTAAAAGACATAGTACCTGAATGAATAAAGAAACAAGACTCAACTATTTGCTGCCTATAAGAAACCCACCTTACCTATAAAGACACAGAGACTGAAAGTGAAAGGGTGGAAAATGATATTCCATGCAAACAGAAACCAAAAAGGAGCAGAAGTAGTTATACTTATATGAGAAAAAATAGACTACAAATCAAAGGCTGTGAAAAGGACATAAAAGGCCACTACGTAATGATAAAGGGGTCAATTCAGCAAAACGATATAACAATTATAAATACTTATGTATCCAGTACCAGAGCTCCCAAAGTATACAAAGCAAACATTAATAGATCTAAAGGAAGAAGTAGACTGCAATACAATAATAGTAGGAAATTTTAACACCCCACTCTTGGTAATGAGACAGATCATGCAGACAGAAAATCAGCAAACACTGGAGTTAAACTACACACTACATAATAAGCCTAACTGACATTTATAAAACATTTCACTTAACTGCTGCAGAATACACATTCTTTTCACCAGCATATAGAATATTCTCCAGAATAGACTATATATCAGGTGATAAAACAAGTCTCAATACATTTTAAAAAGTAGAAATGATATCAAGTACCTTTTTTGATGACATGGAGTAAAATTAGAAATGAATAACAACAAGAACATTGGAAACTTTACAAACATGTGGAAATTAAACAACATGCTCCTGAATTACCAATAGGTCAATGAAGAAGTTAAGAAGGAATTTAAAAATTTATTGAAAAAAATGAAAATGAAAATACAACATAACTATATATGGGATACAGCAAAAGTAGTAATAAGAGAGGAGTTTATAGCAGTAAACACTTATATTTAAAAAGTAGAAAGACTTTAAAGAAACAACCTAATGCACTTCAAGCAATTAGAAAAGCAAGAAAAAAAACAAAATTAATAGAAGAAAGAAATAATAAAGATCAGAGCAGAAATAAATGAAATTCAGACGAAATAAAATTACAGATTAACAAAATGAAAAGTTACTTTTTTAAGAAGATAAAATAACAGATCTTTAGCTAAACTAAGAAAAAAAGAGAGACAACTCACATAAATAAAATCAGAAATGAAAAAGGAGACATAACAACTGAGACTACAGAAATACAAAAAGATTATAAGAAACTAGTATGAACAACTATACTCCAACAAATTGGAAAACCTAGAAGAAATGGATAAATGTCTGGACACATACAACCTATCAAGATTGAACTATGAAGAAATACAGAATCTCAATAAACCAATAATAAATAATGAGATCAAAGCCATAATAAAATGTCTCCCAACAAAGTAAAGCCCAGGACCTGATAGCTTCACTGATGAATTCTATCCAACATTTAAAGAAGTAATAAGAATTTTTCTCAAACTCTTCAAAAAAATTGAAGAGGACAGGACACTTCCAAACTCATTCTATGAGGCCAGCATTATCCAGATATGAAAATCAAATACGGACACAATGAAAAAAGAAAACTACAGGCCATATCACTGAAGAACTTAGATGCACAAATCCTCAACAAAATACTAGCACAAAATACATCACATTAACAGAAACAAGAACTAAAACCACTTGCTTATCTCAATAGATGTCAAAAAAGCATTTGATAAAATTCAACATCCCTTTATGATAAAAACCCTCATCAAACTGGGTATAGAAGGAACATGCTCAAAATAATACATGCCTTATATGACGAACTCACAGTTAAGTTCATACTGAATGGGAAACAATTAAAGGCCTTTTCCCTAAGATCTGGAATAAGACAAGTATGCCCACTTTCACCGCTTTTATTCAGTATAGTACTGAAAGCCCTGGCCGGAGTAATTAGGCAAGAGAAAGAAATAAAGGGCATTCCAACTGGAAAGAAAGAAGTCAAATTATCCTTATTCACAGATGACATGGTCTTATACTCAGGAAAACCTAAAGAATACACACACAAAAAAAACTGTTAGAATTGATAAACAAATTCAATAAATTTGCAGGATACAAAATCAACATACAAAAATCAGTAGCAATTAAATATGCCAATAGCAAACAATATGAAAAAGAGATCAAGAAAGCAATCCCATTTACATTAGCTACAAAGAATATAAAATACCTAGTAATCAATTTAACCAAATAAGTGAAAAATCTATACAGAAAACTATAAAACACTAATGAAAGAAATTGAAGCTGACACACACACACAAAGAAATATATTCCATGCTCATGGATTTAAAAAATTAATATTGTTAAAATGACCATACTACCCAAAGCAATTTATAGATTCAATGCAATCCCTATCAAAATACCAATGATATTCTTTACAGAAATAGAAAAAAAATTCTGAAATGTATATGGAATCACAAAAGACCCTTAATAGCCAAAGCAATCCTGAGCAAAAAGAACAAAGCTGGAGGCATCATACTACCTGACTTCAAAATTTATTTCAAAGCAATTGTAACTAAATCAGCGTGCTACTGGCATAAGAATAGACACATAGACCAATGAAACAGAGTAGAGAACACAGATATAAATTAAACACATTTAAAGGACAATAAATGATGCTGGGAAAACTGGATATCTACATGCAGAAGAATGAAACTAGACCCCTATCTCTTACCATACACAAAAATCTAAACAAAATGGATGAAAGACTTAAATCTAAGACCTGAAACTTTGAAACTACTAGAAGAAAACATTGGATAAACGCCACAGGACATTGGTCTGGGCAAAGATTTTTTGTATAAGACCTCAAAAGCACAGGCAACCAAAGCAAAGATAGACAAATAGGATTAGATTAAGTTAAAAAGCTTCTGCACAGCAAAAGAAATGATCAACAAAGTGAAGAGACAACCCACAGAATGAGAAAATATTTGTAAACTCTCAACCGACAACAGATTAATAATCAGAATATATAAGGAACTCAAACAACTCAATAGCAAATAAACAATCCAAATAAAAATGGGCAAATGATCTGAGTAGACATTTCCAAAAGAAGACATACAAATGGCCAACAAGTATATGAAAAACAATGTTCAACATCACTAATCATCAGAGAAATGCAAATCAAAACAACAATGAGATACCATCTCACCCCAGTTAAAGTGGTTTTTATCAAAAAGACAGGAAAAAACGGATGCTGGCAAGAGTGCAGAAAACGGAGAACCCTCGTACACTGTTGATGAAAATGTAAATTAGCACAGCCATTATGGAGAACAGTTTGGAGTTTCCTCAGAAAACTAAAAATAGAAGCACCATATGATTCAGCAATTCAACTACTGGGTATATGTCCAAAACAAAGCAAATCAATATGTCAAAAAAAATCTCTGCATTCCCATATTTATTGCAGCACTACTCACAATAGTCAAAATATGGAATCAACCTAACTGCTCAACAGTGGATAAATGGATAAAGAAAATGTGATATATACACACAATGAAATATCTTTCAGCCATAAGAATGAAATCTTCTCATTTGCAGCAACATGGACAGAACTGGAGGTCATGATGTCAAGTGAAATAATCCAAGCACAGAAAGACAAATATCACATGTTAAATGGGACTTAATCAAACTAAAAAGCTTCTGCACAGCAGAAGAAATAATCAACAGAGTAAATAGACAACCTACAGAATAGGAGAAAATATTTCCAAACTATACACCTGACAAGGGACTAATATCTAGAACCTACAAGGAACTTAAACAAATAACTCTTCTGTGGGAGATAAAAAAGACAGGTAAGGGTAGAGAGGAGGGGAAGAATGAAGAGAAGTTGATTAATAAGTACAAATATATGGTTTCATGGAAGAAATAAGACCTAGTGTTTGCTAGATCTGTAGAGTGACTATAGTTTATAACATTCTATCATACATTTTTAAATAGCAAGAAGAGATGAATTAACATGGTTCTGGAATGAAGAAAAAATATCTAAGGTTATGGACACACCAAGTACAATGATTTGATCCTTACAAATTATGTGAATATATTAAATTAGCACAAGTACCCCAAAACTATGT
Source organism: Homo sapiens (assembly GCF_000001405.40). Classification (NCBI taxonomy): domain Eukaryota; kingdom Metazoa; phylum Chordata; class Mammalia; order Primates; family Hominidae; genus Homo; species Homo sapiens. The sequence continues at coordinate 150,171 of NW_003315945.1, forward strand.
ACATCTATTATGTATAAATTTTTAAAAAAGAATAGAAAAAAGGCAATAAATCTGTTCATTGTCCTTCAACCAATAACTATGAAGGGACTTCAACAAAAGTTGTGGAAAATGGAATTAAAAGATAACAAGAATATAAATTTTATCAGCAGAAGCTGCATCAAGTTCAAGATACTTTTGTAAGCATTAATGTCAGCCATTTAGTCCATCCCTAAAGAACTGAGGGTTCTTGCAATTTAACCATGTCAGTGAAGTCATTTTTATATTTTTAACTGAAGAAAAATGAGTGCCCCTTACAAATTTTTTAAGATTAGGAAATAAAAATAAGTCAGAAGAGGCCAAAGCAGAACTTTAAGGTGAATGCCTAATGGTTTCTCACCAAAACTCTGGCAAAATTACCGTTGTTTAATGAGAGAAATGAGCAGGAATATTGTCATGCTGGAGAAGGACTCTCTGGTGAAGCTTTTCTGAGCATTTTTGCTAAAGCTGTAGCTTTCTCTAAATATTATCATAATAAGTAGATGTTATTATTCTTTGGCTTTCAAGAACGTCAACATGCAAACTTCTGTGAGCAGCCCAAAAAACTGTTGCTAAGACCTTTGCTCTTGCCCAGTCTGCTTTTGCTTTGACTGAACCACATCCACCTCTTAGTAGCCATCGCTTTGATTGTGCATTGTCTTTAGAATTGTACTGGTAAAGCCATGTTTCCTCTTCTGTTACAATTCTTCAAAGAAATGCTTCAGGATCTTGATCTCACTTATTTAAAATTTCCATTGATGCTGGGAAAACTAGATAGCCACATGTAGAAGAATGAAACTGAATCCCTGTCTCTCACCATATACAGAAATTAACTCAAGATGAATTAAATACTTAAATAGAAAAAAACTAAAGACTTAAATGTAAGACTTGAAACCAGAAAAATCTGAGAAGAAAACCTAGGAAAAACTCTTCTGGACATTGACCCAGGCAAAGAATTTATGACTAAGACTCCAAAAGCAAATGCAATATAATCAAAAATAATAAATGGAGCTTAATTAAATGAAAAGGCTTCTGCACAGCAGAAGAAATAATCAACAAAGTAAATAGACAACCTACAGAATTGGACAAAATATTCACAAACTATACATCTGACAAAGGACTAAGATCTAGAATCTGCAAGGAACTCAACAAATCAGCAAGGAAAAAAACAAGTAATCTCATTAAAAAGTGGGCAAACTACATGAATAGACATTTCTCAAAAGAGAATATACAAATGGCCAACAATAGTATGAAAACAAATTCTTAACACCACTAATCATCAGGAAAATGCAAATTAAAACCACAGTAAGATATCACCTTGCCCCGGTCAAAATGGCCAATTTTTACAAGTCAAAAATCAATAGATGTTGGTGTGGATGCAGTACAAAGGGGATGCTTATACATTGTTGGTGGGAATGATGTAAATTAGTACAACCTTTATGGAAAACAGTATGGAGCTTTCTTAAAGAACTAGAAGTAGATCTACCATTTGATCCAGCAATCCCATTACTGGATATTTACCCAAAGGAAAAGAGGTTACTATATTTTAAAAAGTTACCTGCATTCATATGTTTACCACAGCACAATTCACAATTGCAAAGATATGGAATTAACTTAAGTTCCCATCAACTGACAAGTGGATAAAAAAATATGGTATACATATACCATGGAATACTACTCAGCCATAAAAAAGAATCATCTTTGAGGCTGGGCGCGGTGGCTCACGCCTGTAATCCCAGCACTTTGGGAGGCCGAGGCGGATGGATGACGAGGTCAGGAGATCGAGACCATCCTGGCTAGCACGGTGAAACCCCGTCTCTACTAAAAATAGAAAAAATTAGCTGGGCGTGGTGGCAGGTGCCTATAGTCCCAGCTACTCGGGAGGCTGAGGCAGGAGAATGGCATGAACCCAGGAGGTGGAGCTTGCAGTGAGCCAAGATCGAGCCACTGCACTCCAGCCTGGGCGACAGAGCGAGACTCTGTCTCAAAAAAAAAAAATCATCTTTTCCAGCAATTTGGCTGGAACTGAAGGCCATTATCCTATGTGAAGTAACTCAGGAACGGAAAGCCAAATACTGCGTGTTCTCACTTATAAGTGGGAGCTAAGCTATGGCTTTGCAAAGGCATACAAAGTGGTATAATGGACACTGGAGACTCAGAAGGTGGAAGGGTGGGAGGGGGATAAGGGACAAAAAAATCCCCTATTTTGTACAATGTACACAGTTCAGGTGACAGGTACACTAAAAACCCAGACTTCGTCACTATACAGTTCATTTATGTAACCAAAACCCACTTGTACCCTAAAGCTATTGGAATTTGTTTAAAAGATACTCAACCTTAATCTTAACAAGAAGTAAACGTCATTTTTAAGAAATAAAATAAAATTTCCACTGAGACTGTGCTCTTGTCTATAGCTGATCTGGGTGCAACAGTTTTGACACCCATCAAATATAAAGTTTGCTCAGCTTTTTCAGTCAGAATTTGGTAAGCTAAACCAATTGAGATGTCTATGGTGTTGGCTGTTGATTCTGCTGTTAATTGTTAGTCCTCTTCAATGCCTTTCCCCCATCCCCTGCTGTCCCACATGCTCCTGACCTGTCCTTGTCTTGACAATCCTACCTGTGTCCCCAGGACTCAGAGGTCCCAGGTGACTCTGACCTCACATCATGGGAAGGTCTTCTAGCATGCGTCCAAGGCCCTAGATGGATGTCGCTTGCTTCCCAGCCACAGCCTGCAGGACCATAGAAGCAGGTTAAGTTCAGGGGTGGAGCACAATCTGCAACATTAAAGACACAGGCAGGTCCACAGACCCAGAAGGTCTGGAAGCACATGGCCAGTGGGCTCTAAGACTCCACAAGCTGGAACCAGGGCTCACCTGGAGGTGAGCGGGTCACGTGGGCAATAGAAGGGAACAGATTAGGGTTTACCAAGGGAGCACATCAGAGTAGCCCCAAGGCATGGCCGAGTCAGACCATGAGATGCTTCCCACTCTCCTGGTAAAATGGCTTCCCAACAGCCTCGCCAAGGGAGGTGGGCGCTTGGCTCGCAAGCCTGGCTGGCAGTCACATAGTGCAGATGGGCTGCTGACAGCATCCCCCTCATACCCCCTCCTCAGAATCCCCAGAAGAGGGGGCGAGCAGCATGCCTGCCCGTACATCCCCTCCTGTCGCATTCAGACAATCTGGCTGCATCTCTCATGTGCACCCCACCCCCATGACTCCCCACATCCACACTGGCCCCTCTGCGCCTCCACATCCACAGATCCAAGTCATCACTTCAAAATCAGAGTGCTTCAAAATTAGGGCCAGGCCCAACATTTATGGAGACACCCTAAATACTCAGCAATCAAGATAAATACTATTTTCATGCAATATTTTTAAATGAGTGCAAAATATGTCCATGGTGAACAAACTAGCAAAAATTTACATGAAGACAGCATCCGACAGGGCATAGATTGTATTGAAGAAAGTGAGGTCGAATCATGAAAGTGCAGGATTAAATGCTGTCTTTATTGAAAATGTTGATGTTTTGCTCACGATGGAATGTTTTTTGCATTACTTTGAAATTTTTTAAAATATTTTTAAATATTGCAGAAATCTATCTTAAGTACTGATTTTTGGCCCCCACTTCAGTTCTGAGGCTGAAGTGAGAACCTTGCTCTCCTCAGCTTAATCTCAGTTCTGTAAAACCCAATTGTGGCCCCCTCACCACCTTCCTTGGCCCAGCAGTGGCTCCCCAATATTGTCAGGGCAAACTCTATGTCCTCTAGGTCTTCGTGGTTGATTGGATCCCTGCCCACCTCTTTGTCCCAATCACTAATGGTCAGATGGAACACACCCACGTAGCCATAAAGATTGTTAGAACATTGAAAATACTTCCTTATCCCAAGCACACCTACACCAAATGTTCCCTGACATCCTCCCTCCTCCCCCAGCAACCTGTCAGAACCCCCCACAATTCAGCAACCAAAGGACCAATGTCTGACCAACTGGATCCCCTAGGCTCTGCATATGCAATATTTTAAATAGTCCCCTGTCCAGCATCATCCTTTGCCAGGCTTCTCTCCCTGCTCCAGCCACACCAGCCTTTGCCCTGTCTCTCCGAATATGCTGTTCCCTCTGCCTGGTACTTGATACCTTCCACTCCCTGCCCAGTTATCTCTGACTTATCCTTCAGATCTCCCCCAAGTGTCACTACTACAAGGAGTTATCATAAGAGAGGGTCTATTATAAAAGCCAGTTTGGTTCTGGTTTTTGCACCCCTTAGCCATGTGATGCCTTGTGCCACCTTGGGACTCTGCAGAGAGTCCCCACCAGCAAGAAGGCCCTTGCCAGATGCAGCCCCTCGATTTTGGACTTCCCAGTCTTCAGAACTGTCCCAGGCTTTTCTGACTCCCTTTTGAATGGTTCTCTTCATGCTATGTGTTACTTCTGTGGTTCTAATCACGGTTGTAATTTTACATTGTTTGTGTGATTTTTTAAAAATCAGTTTTCCAGTGCGAAACTGTAGGCTTCATGAAAACAGAGAGATTGGGCCTGTATGTTTTATCTCCAATGCCTATCAAAATACTGACACATAGACACATAGTATTCCTTCTCCCTTGAGAAGGGGAATGGAGGAGATGCATAAGAGCCATTTATAGGAATGTCTTAAGTCATAGACAAAAAAAACAAAAAAAATTACATCCTACTTCAAGATCATGGTGCCTGAAATCCCACCACCAGTATGATTCTGTAAGGTTGGACACTTTTGGTGGATTACCAATTAAGCCCAAAACCCCATTTTCCATATGGAGAAATCAAGGCCCAGGTAGATAAAATGAGTTTTCCAAGGCCATACAGTAATTAGTGACAGAATCAGGGTTCTTGACTCCTAGTCCAGTGCTTTTTCCACTCCACCCTCTGCTATTCTTTCTTCATCCCAGGAATTACTTCCAATGTCCAAACTTCTCTACTGTAAATATCCTTCCTTCTCATTCCCTTCCTGCAGTCTATTTTCTACACAACATGTATTAGACAGAATGGAGTTGGGAGCCATGGAGAAGAGAAATCTATGCAGCCAATGAGGAACAGAGGCAAGATCCTTTAACCAAAGGTCCTCCACCTCACCATGATGCCCAAAAGGAATTAGCCTAAGTTTGTTCTGCCACAACACACGTGGACTCAGTCAATGACAGCCTACTGATGCAAGGTCAAGTGCAATCTTCTTAGCCTGACATGTCAGGCCTTAGATGATCTGGCCCTTGCTCTGTCTCCACCCTATCTCTTGCTATTGCAACTCATATCCCACATTGCAGTCATTCTGGACTGGCCTTAACCCTATTCTCACCCCTCTGATCCTTTATGCATGCCACTTCTCCTTTCTAAAAGGCCCTTCTCTTAATCTATCAGGCCAACTAATAGCCCTCTGTCCTTTGGGGCCTGCCTCAGGAATCCCCTTATCCAGGAAGCTCTTCCAACCTTCCCCCAAATTAGGTTAGATTGGGTTGCAAACCCACTGCACCCTGACTCCTGGCCTCTCACTACTCAACCATGAGATTTCTGAGGACAGGGACCTTGCCTTGGGCATGCTGTGTCTCTGATGCTGAATCATGTGATGCTTATGAAGCATCTACCACATGTTAAATGCATATCAGACATGGGCTGCCATGGAGTTAATGTTTGGCCCCTCTGAAACTCATGTTGAAACCCAATCACCAATGTCGCATTATGAAGAGGTGGGACTTTTAAGACCCTCATTGGGTCATGAGGGCTATGCCTTCATAAATGGATTAATTCACTCAAGGATTAATGGATAAATGGATTGATGGGTTATCAGAGGACTGGGTTGGTTATCACAAGAGTGTGTCTATTATAAAAGCCAGTTTTGTTTTGACCAGGAAGTGCCATGTGTCACTTCTCTTCACAGCTCATTGGCCAGAACCAGTCACACATGCAATTGCTATCCATGTGATGCCCTGTGCCACCTCAGGACTCTGCAGAGAGTCTCCACCAGCAAGAAGGCCCTCACCAGATGCAACCCCTTGATTTTGAACTTCCCAACCTCCAAAACTGAAAGAAATAAATTTGTTTTCTTTATAAATTGCCCAGTCTCAGGTATTCAGTTGTAGCAACAGAAAACAGACTAAGACACTGGTGGTACAATGATGAATACAGGTCTCTGTTCTTGTGGAGTTTACTGTCAGTGGATGAGACAAAGAGTAAATATGTTAGTTAGTTAGTTGCTTACTTCATTTGTTCATTCATTAAATGATAGATTGTTATTAGTGTTTAAAATAAATAGTGTGTGATGACAGAAAATAATGGGGGGGGGAGGGTGGGCAACTCTGGATAGAGTCATCAGGGAGTCCTCTCTGAGAAGGGTGAGATCTAACCTGAGACCTGAAGGATAGGAAGGAGCCAGCCATGAGACCAACCAGGCAGAGGAAATGCACAGGCAAAGACCCTGCAAAAAGAAAGAGCTTGTTGAGTCTGAGGCAGAGTAAGCAGCTCAGTGAGCTAGGGGCTGATGAGATGAGGTTCAAGAGGGAGGCAGGAGCCAGATTACACAGCAACTCAGTGATAAGTGCAACAGGAAGCCATTGAAGAACTCTGATCTGGCTGCTGCGTAAAGAATGAATTTGGGGGATACAAAGGTAGGAGTAGGGACATTAATTAGGTGACTATTCCACAAAATTTGGCAATGATGATGGAAGTTCAGACTAGGGTAGCAGGAGGGAGAAGAAAAATTGTGTGAAGATAAATCTGATATCTCAGTAGTTAAGTAACACTCAATACATACAGAGTTTATTTTTTGCCCACATGAGAGTCCAGTGTGAATTGGGAAGTCCTTCATCTTGCAGCTCTACCATTTGGAATACATGGCCTTCAAGGCCTATCAGGGAAAGAGAGAGATGAAGGAGGCACGTCATGGGTTCTTAACTGTTTTGACCAGGAAGTGTCATGTGTCACTTCTCTTCACAGCTCATTGGCCAGAACCAGTCACATGACTCCATTCTAACTGCAAAGGAGAATGGGAAATGGCGGGGAGGACATGGGATATCTCATAAGCACTTTCTGATGGAAATGGACTTACTCAAGATACCCTTTCGAGGTAGAAGTGATCTGACTTGTTGATAGATCAGATGTAGGGATTTGGGATAGTAGTGATAAAGAAATGGGAAGAGTAAGGGATAATTCCCAGATTTCCCTCATTAGCAATTGGGTGTAGATTTAACATATCCCAAACTAAACTATTGCCCTTCCCTTCCAATGAATCTGCTCTCTTCCTCCATCTTAGTTGGTGAAAATTCCATGTTTCTGGTTTCTCAGTTCAAAAGCCTTAGAGTCTTACCTGAATTGTATACTTTAAGTGGGTGAATTATCTCACTAAAGCTGTTACTATATGTATATACATATACATGACACATATGTATATACATATATACACATATCTAGAATCTGTTCACTTATTTTACCTCCACTGCTACTACCCTGGTTCCAGCCACCACCATCTCTCACCTGGACCACTGAAACACAGCAGCCAGAGTGATTCTGTTATAATGTAAAACAGAATAGGTCATCATCTGCAAAATACACAGCAAAGACTAAAACCACATTCTTTGCAATGGTCTACAAAGGCCTACATACTATGACCTCTCTTTCGTAACCCTTGACCCCACCTCCTCCTATCATCTCCTCTTATTCATTCTCATCCACCCACACCAGCCTTCTTGCTGTTCCTCCAATGTACCAAGGGTTCTTGTCTCAGGGCCCTTGCACTTGTTGTTCCTGCTCTCTGATTTGCTCACTCATACATCTCCTTCTCAATACTTTGCTCAAATTTTACCTTTATAGTGGGGTTTCCTTGACTGTCCTATTTAAAATTGCAATCCAACCCCAACCTCAATGTGTTTAATCCCCTTTACTCTATCAACACTTTTAGAGTATTTATCACCTTCTAATGTATTGTATAATTAATTATTTGTTATAGCTAGCATTATTGTTCTGCCTTTCCTCACTAAAATGTAAATTTCAAGAGAATGTATATTATTGTTTTGTTCACTGATGCATTCCAAGCATTCAGTAGACATTCAGTTAGTATTTGTTGATTAAATAAATAAATAAATATGTGAAATGTGTCATCACGTGGAATGGAGAAGTCTCTGGACCATAGTAGGTGCTCAGTAAATATCTATTAATTTAATATCAGTACAATATTGATCCACGGACTGGACTTAGAAATGTTTCCCACTGCATGGGGATAGGGATTAAATGAGATTATGCATAAAGTGCTTGACCCATAGTAGATTCTCAGTAAGGGTTAATTTACTATGACTTTGCCTCAAAAGTTATATTCTTCATTCTATTAGTCAGGATTATCCAGAGAAATAGAACCAATAGAAACCAAGAAATTGTGTGGGGTGTGTGTGTGTGTGTGTGTGCGTGTGCATGTGCACATGCATGCATGTGTGTCAAGAGAGGAAGAGAGAGAAATTATAAGATACTGCCTTGTGTGACTATGGAAGCTGTGAAGTCCCAAGGTCTGCAGTCAGCAATCTGGGGGCCCCAGAGAGCCCATGTGTAGCTCCAGTCTAAGCGCAGGGCCTGAGACGGGAGAGTTACTGGTGTAAGTTTTAGTTTGAAAGTTGGCAGCCTAGAGACCCAAGAAGAACCCGTGTTTTTTGTTTTGGGTTTTTTTGTTTTGTTTTGTTTTGTTTTTTTGAGACAGAGTCTCACTCTGTCACTCAGGCTAGAGTACAGTGGTGTGATCTCAGCTCACTGCAACCTCCACCTCCTGAGTTCAAGCCATTCTTGTGCCTCAGGCACCTGAGTAGCTGGGATTACAGGTGTGCACCACCACGCTTGGCTAATTTTTGTATTTTTAGTAGAGATGGAGTTTCACAGTGTTGGCCAGGCTGGTGTTGAACTCCCAACCTTAGGTGATCCACCCGCCTTGGCCTCCCAATGTGCTGGGATTACAGGCATGAGCCACTCACTGTGCCTGGTCTAATGTTTCAATTTGAGTCCAAAAGGTGGAATAAAAAAAGATATCCCAGCTCAAAACAGGCAGAAAGAGTTTCTTCTTATCTGTGGGAGAGTCAGCCTTTCTGTTCTATTTCAGCTTTCAACTGATTGGATGAGGGCCACCCACATTAGGAAGGGCAATCTGCTTTACTCAGGCTATTGATTCAAGTGTTAATCTCATCTAAAAACAGCCTCACTGACACAGCCAGAATAATATTTGGCCAAATATCTGGGCACCCCATGGCCCAGTCAAGTTGACACGTAAAATTAATCATCACATCCATCTTAGAATATGATTTCTTCTCCTTCCATATATCCAAAGTCCAACCATCCTTCAAGGCCCAGTAAAGAACCACCTCTTCCTACAAGCCTTCCACCACACTCCTTTTCACTCTGAGTTCTATACCATTTTTAAACTTTATTTATAGTCAACCTCAGATTCTCTCTGGGTAGATGTCTGTGTGTAACTTCTTTGCCAGTGCATTCTTCTATGAACTCTCCTGGTGATGTTTCATTCACTAATGCTTTTTTTTTTTGGCATATTCTTTCTTCCATACACACTCCACCTAGTCCTTCTGGCAATGTATACAGTATGAGAGACAGGCATGCCTTCCAACTGTCTCATCACAAAGTTATAAGAAATAGAAGTTAATAAACAGGAAGCAACATATAAAAACATTGAGTCAAAGAGATGGCACACAAAAGCTGAAATTTCCATTGCTGCCAATATTCCAATCTGTAGATGGGTCTTTAACAGTCCCCAAAGTAGGGAGCCCATGAGCCCATGTTCTCAGGCCTTTCTTCCTCCTGACTTCAGTTCGGCATTCTCTGATGTGGTGCTTCAACTCTCACTCCTCCTTGGATCCTCTGTCACCTCCAATCTTCCCAACACTCCAGTAGCCATGCTGTTATTTCTGGACCATCCTCAGCAGCATGCCTAACTTCCCATGATACTTGGAAATCTACTTTCCATGCCTCAAAGAATTAATGGAAGAGAAAGAATTCATAAAGAGACCTGGGGTTTGCCTTGCACAATGCCATCTTTGCAGCTCTGCAATCCCACGTCTTCTCCTCCCGTGTGTGTTCGTATGGAGCACTTACTGGAAAATCCATTTGAGGATCCTCTAAGATCTCTGCCCAGTCAGATACTTCTCCTCCCACACCCTTCTGGCCATGATGCTCTTTATATCAAAGCATCTACATGCTGCAAAGTGGGATCATCCTATGGTGTATCTTTTCTGTTGGACCCAAGCATACACCGGGTTTCTCCAGCTGGCCACTAAGTCTGAGGGCCAGTTCTTAGTCCAATCTTTTTTTGTATCTCCCTGACTTTTAGTAGTAGGTGCTCCTCTAATCCCTGCTAATCACTGAGTGATACCAATACAGATCAGAGGATTAGCTAATTCAGTGGAGGGATGCTTTTTGAGAGTAGACATTAGGCTGCTAGTAGCTTCCACCAGCCAAAATAGTTTTTATTTTAGGTGACAGGGGTCACACGAAGTTGAGGAGCACTTCAATGAGGAAAACATTTTTTGAGTATCTATTAAATATAAAGTATTGTACTGTAGCATTTACCAAGTGTTTACCATGTGTAAGACATCATCTCATATGCTTCATATATATCCATACACCTTAAACAATTTAATCCTGAAAACAACTCTGGTGAGGGAGCATTATAATTATACTCCCTTGACAGATGAGGAAACTGAGGCACACAGATGTTAAGTACAACAGCAAATGGGCTACAAGAGACCAGGCAGATACATGATACTATCACGAAGAGCAGAGTAAGACAAATACCACAAGAAAAGAAAGCAGAGAGGGTAGTTCTCTCACCTGGGATTTCCGTATGTGCTTTGCCTACCTGGAGAACTTAACATGTCCTTCAAGACCCACCTCAAGATCTGTGCATTTTAGTAAAGCCTTCTCTAACCCCTTCCCCCAGCAGAGCTGTCTCCACCCTTTGTTGGCCCCTCCTGCTGAGACATAGCATTGGCCCAACCCCAATCACCTTGCATGATGACTGCTTCCATATCTGCCTCCCTCGCTGGGCCATGAACTCTCCTGGAGGGCAGGGACAGATTGTGCTTCAAGGCCTTCTCAGCACCAACCCTTGTTGATGATAAAGCAGTGAGGCAGGCTTACCTAAAGGCCTCCATCCTGAAGTGACATGTGACTTCCACTCACATTCCATTGCCCGCAGCAAGTGGCATGCTTCTGGTTGCGTTCTACACCTCACACTTTGCCTGGTGAAATTCAGCTATGCCAAAACAAAACCAAAAAAAACATGGGGATGGGGACTGCCAGTTGGCTGAGTGACAAACAGGTGGCGGATGGCCAAGCCAAGTGGGCATATCATACTCACAACTGGGACGCCTGCAAAGAGGCACTTCTGGAAATGTAGGAAAGTTGTGAGTCTGGATGGTGTGGGCTATGGTGGAAGCCTTTGGGACACAGAAGGAGCCCACGCACCTTCTTCATAATTCTTCTCTTTATGTTAATTATCAGCCTGACCTTGGACAGGGCCCTTTCCCAAAAGGGTCCTCTTTCTCTCCATTGGCAAAATATTGGGCTACAAGCTTACTGTCTTGTGGTTGTAAGATTCCATGCTCTTGACAACCATGCCAGGCACCTGCCTCATCTATGTGCCAAAAATGTTATCTACCCCCTAGTTTGGGATCCTGAGAAATTTTAGCAAAATTTGCCAAATACTATAGAGAAATAGATACTTTTCCTTTCCCATTTTTAAAAATCATCTTTTTTTCTACCCACAACAATTTTCTCCTCCTCGAATACTGAGTTCCACAAGTGAATAAGCTATGTCATCTCTAAGTTTCCAGAAATGTAGATTCCATGGATCGAGGGAAAGAAGGGATGAACCATCTTTTCCCTTTCGTCACAGGAAGCTGCAGCACATTTCCAAAGTAAGATGGGCTTCTAATTATTAAAAATAAACTCTGGCCCACAGCCTGATTTGCACATTAATGTAGCCAGCAGATGCAGACTTGCAAACATGCTCTCTGGCTCCATACTGAGACCCAGCTTCTCTGCCCATTTTTCATGCTGAGATTCTCTAAGGACAACCATTTCTGTTTGGAGAACCATGAAATCAGCTAATTGCTCTCTCAAGGAAGGGGATGCTGCCCTAGGGCTTAAGGGGGCAATGGTTCCCTAGATTCTGACTAAGGAACTTAAGGAAGATGAAAGGAAACTTAAGATATGTAGATATGTTGGGAGGCCAAGGTGGGTGGATCACAAGGTCAGGAGATCAAGACCATCCTGGCTAACACAGTGAAACCCCGTCTCTACTAAAAATACAAAAAATTATCTGGGTATGGTGGCGGGTGCCTATAGTCCCAGCTACTTGGAAGGCTGAGGCAGGAGAATGGTGTGAACCCGGGGGCAGAGCTTGCAGTGAGCCAAGACCATGCCACTGCACTCCAGCCTGGGGGAGAGAGTGAGACTCCATCTCAAAAAAAAAAAAAAAAAATATATATATATATATATATATATATATATATACACACATATATATATACACACACATATATATATATACACATATATATATATGTAGATATGTATTAAGACTTTTAATATTAAGTGGCAGAAACACCAACTGATACTGGCTAATGCAGAGGAAGTGGGGTGGGGGGTTGTTGTTAATTTGTTTTGTTTTGTGTTGTTCATGTACCTGAAAAGTCTAGAATGTGGGAGATGATTACTAGTTTCAGGAATGGCTGGATCTATGTGCTTTGGCAAGCTGATTAGGAGTTTGTCTTTCTCTTTTCTAGCTCACTTTCCTCAATGTGCCCTTTTACTCTCAGGCAAACTCTTCTCAAGCTGTAACAAGATTTCATCCCCATAGGTAAATAACCCCAGTGAAGAGAAATTCTGTTTCCTACTAGTTCCCACAAAAGTATCAGAAATGACCCTTGTACAATTTAAATCACATGCTCAGTCCTCAACCAATCATTGCAGCTTTGGGATAGAATACATTAACTGATCAGATCAGAGCACATGGAAGTAGGGTTGAGGTCCACCCCACTCACATCTCATGAACTAAGAGTACAAAGGGGTAGTTCCCCAAAGAAAAATCAACTTTAAAACCTGGACTAAATATGTGCACTGTTCTGAGGACTCTGTATAGTAAATACTAACAGGTAGATAGGGAAGTAAGACCAGAACTCAAAGTTCTATTGAAGTTATGAATTATTTTTTCCCCTCTGTTATTCTAGGACCAGAAGATGACATGGCCCCCTGACACCCTGATGTGGTCATTAACATAAATAGAGAGCTCTAGGAGACACTGTATAGTTCTGGGTCAAGAAGTAGGAAAGGGAACTCCTACTCTTAGATAGGAATGAACTGAAAAACACCATCAACAAATAAGACCTTACTGACATTTATGGAATACCCTCATCCAACAAAAGCAACATTCAATTTTTTTCAAGTGCATATTAAATATCCACCAAGATAGAGCATGATCCTGGATCATAAAACAAGCTTTAACCAATTTAAAATAATGGAAATTATACAAAGTATGTTCTCAAACTATAATGGAATTAAACTGGAAATCAGTAAGAGAAAAACAAGAGGAAAATATCTAAATGCTAACATATTAAACAACACACTTCTAAATAATTCATAGGTCAAAAAAGAAGCCCCAAGAAATATGAGAAAATATTTGAACTGAATGAAAATAAAAATACAGCCTATCAAAATTTGTGAAGTGCTTCTAAAATAGTGCTTAGATGAAAATTTATAGTATTGGTTAAAAAAGAAAGAAAAACAAAACTGAAAAAAAGAAAAATAAAGATCTCAAATCAGCCATCTAGGCTTCCACCACAAGAAACTAGAAAAAGAAGAGTAAAACAAAACCAAAGTAACCAGGAGAAAGAAAGCAGTAAAAGTAATGCAGAATCAATGAAATTGAACCTGAAAGGCTATGGAGAAAGTTAATCAAGTCAAAGGTGTTTTTTCAATAATTGGAAAAATCAAAATGTGTCTAGCAAGACTGACAGAGAAAGAAGAGATAAGATACAAATGATTAATATCAGGAATGAAAGAGAAGATATCACTACAGGTCCTGTGGCCATTAAAAATAATAAGGTAATACTACAAACATAATACATATAAATTCAAAAACTTAGATAAAATTGAACAATTCTTGGAAAACCACAAAAAACAAAACTCATCCAAGATGAAATGAATAACCTAAATAGTCCTATACTTATTTTAAAAATTGAATCTATCTTTTAAAACCTTTCAAAAAAGTCATTTCCAGGCCTGATACCTTTACTAGAAATTCTACAAAATATTTAAAGAAGAAAAAATAATAATTCTACACAATTTCTTTCAGAAAATAGAAGTGAAGGAAACATATACCCAACTCATTTCATGAAGCCTGTATACCAAAAACATACAAAAATAGCGACAAATAGAAAACTGCAGACTAATATCCTTCATAAATACAGAAGCAAAATTTCTCAGCAAAATAATAGCAACCAAATTAAAAAAACACATACACAACCAAGTGGAATTTATAGCAGGAATATAAGGCTGATCCAATATTTAAAAATCAATCAATGTAATCTACTATATTAAAATTTTAAAAGGCAAAATACATCATCATACGTAATCCAGAAAATGCATTTGACAAAATGCAACAATTCATGATAAAAAAAAAACCTCTCCATAAACTTGAAATAGAAGAAAACATCCTCAATCTGACAAAGAACAAATGTAAAAAGCCTACAGCTAACATTCTACTTAATGGCAAATTATGAATGTTTTTCTTATCAGATTGGGAGAAAGGCATGGATGAATTCTCACTGCTCCTTTTTAATATTGTACAGGAAGTCCTAGCTATTTGCAATAAGCAGAGAAAAGAATCAAAAGGCATACAGACTAGAAAAGAAGAAATAAAACCTTCTATTTGTAGATGACATAGCGTTCTATACAGAAAATCCCAAGGAATCTATAAAAGCTTCTAAAACTAATACCTGAGTTTAGCAAGATTGCAAGGCAACACACAAAATCAATCATATTGCTATATATTAGCAATGTATAATTGGAAAACAAAATTTTAAAACAATGTCATTCACAATACCCCTCCAAAAAGTGAAATACATATATAAGACCTGTATGCTGAAAACTATAAGAAATGCTTATGAAAGAGGTTAAAGAAGACCTCAATAAATGGAAAGATACACCATGTTCATGGATTGCAAAACTCAGCATAGTTACAATGTCAGTTCTTCCCAAAATGATCTACATATTTAACACAATTCCAATAAAAATCCCAGGAGGATTTTTTTTTAAATATTGACAAGTGGACTTTCGAATTTATATGGACATGGAAAAGAACTAGAATAGCCAAAACAATTTTGAAAAAGGAATTACAAAGTTGGAGCACTTACACTACCTGATTGTATGATTTCCTATAAAGCTTCAGTAGTCCAGATAGTGTGGTGTCAGCAAAAGAACAGGCACATAGATAGCATAAGGGAGTTTCTTGGGGTGATCAAATCGTTCTATATTCTGATTCTAGCAGTGGCTGCACAAACCTATACCTGAGTTAAAAGTCATAGAACAGTACATCCTTCCAAAAGTCAATGGTACTATCTTATACTTTTAAAATAAAATTTCTTTTTAGACCTTTTAATTGAAAAATAAACTTCCAAGGCGTTAAGTCAGTTCACTGGCGAAAAGAAAATGTTTTTAACAGAAGCGCTGAAACAATCCATATGGAAATGAATGAACTTCAACTCTATCTTCATTCCATACACAAACATAAATTAAGACAGATCATAGACCTAAGCATAAAAGTGAAAACCATAAAGCTTCTAGAATAAAACACAAAAGAATACTTTTGCATTCTTAGATTAGACAAAGATTTCTTCAGACATTAAAATCACGAAGCATAATGAAAACAATAGGTAACTTGAACTTAAATTTTAAAATCCCTACTTATGAAAAGACGTCATTAAGAAAATGAATAGTAAAAAACACAAATGGGGAGAGGTTTTTGCCACATTTATATCTGACAAATGACTTGTGTATAACACATAAAGAATTCCTACAAATCAACAATAAAATGGCAAGCTACCTTTTTTAAACTGGGCAAATAACTTAAAAGATACTTCACAGGGGAAGATACACATATAGCTAATAAGAAATGGTATTTAACATCAATGCAAATTTTAACTACAGTGAGACACCGTTTTATGCTCACCAGAATGGCTATTCTAACAATACAAAATGTGGAACCTATGAACCATCTGGAACTCTGGTGTGTCACTGTTGGGAATGTAAAATGGTACAGCCATTTGGATATCTATTCAGCAGCTTCTACTAAATTTACTCATGTGTCTATTGTATGCTTCAACATTCCACTCCTATTTCAACAGAAATGGGTTCATATGTGCACTTAAAATGTGGAAGAGGATGCTCATTGCAGTCTTAATCATAATATCCAAAATTGGAAATAACTCAAATGTTTTCCATAGTAAAATAGATAAACAAATAGTGGTATGTCCATACAATAAAATACTATTCTGCAGCAGTAAAGGAAAAAACAACCTGGATGAATCTCAAAAACATTACAGTGGGCAAAGGAAGCCAGGCACATAATAGCACATACTGGGCGATTTTGTCCATGTCAAGTTCTAGAACACACAAAACTAAGCTAAGGTGATAGGAATCAGAACAGTGGTTGCCTGCGGGCTTGGAAGGTTGGCTACAAATGAGCCCAAGAGAACTTCCTGGAGGGATGTAAATACTTTGTAGCTTATTTTGGATAATGGTTTCACAGCTGATTACAATTTTCCAAACTCATGAAATTGAACATTTTAGAGTTGCGCATTTCTATTGTATATAAATTTTACCTCAATTTAGTTAAAAAAGAAACCATTTATAAATGTAGCACTTTATTTTCTACAAACCATTTTCACATCCATTCCCCTATTCCCTCCATGTAATCTTCTCATCAACCCCAGGCAGTAGGAAGATCAGGATTATTGTACGAATGAGTAAACTGCGAGAGATCAGAATGAGGGAGCGACTCCCAAGGTCACACACAGAGCAAGCTTTTGCCAGAGCAGGGACTAAAGCCCAGGTGTTAGGACTCCACAGCCAGTGCTCCTTATGCAATGCCTTGTTTTTCAACGTGTTATCCCTTTCTCTCTGGCATTACAGAGATCCCCAGGGGCACAGTAAATGTCAGCTTCCTCAATTCTCACCACATTAATCTCTTTTGCATACCAAAATTCTGCCTAAGATTTCATTGAAAAGTTTGTGAATTACTGATGTTACAAATGCTAAAAATATGCTAAAACAAACATACATATCCAGTAGCTTCTCTTTTCCTTTGCATAGCTTTGTGATATAATTTGGGAGACATTAGAGTCCAATTTTCACTCTGGGCTGAAAACAGTTATATCTGTTTGAAACAGTGCAGGCTCCAGGCACCAGCTATTATACCAGAGTACACAGAACAGAAAGACAGGCCGGAAAGGAAGGGCTTTAACCACAGTGTGATGTCAGCCTAGTCATTCTCCCTCTCTGAGACTCAGTTTCCCCATCTTTCATACAAGGAGCCTGGACCAGATAAGCTTTAACTGAGTATCCAGTAAGAGGGTCTAGAGCTGAAGGGGCAGTATTCATCTTCTTCTGAAACCTCCCATATGAGCATTATCAGCCCAGGTATCCCACCTGAGGATTCTCTTTCCAGGGAAAAATCGCAAGTCATTGAGGTGAAGGGGACTCACCTCCATGCAGAGAAGTGACCAAGACCTCCAGGATAAATCATCTTCCATTTCCTGTCCAAGGAGACTTCAAGGGATCTGACAACCTCTCTGTATTACTTATGGGCTAAGAAATTGTATTGTGAAGACTTGGGTCCCAGTCCTGGTTCCATCAATAGCTGACAGTACGACTCTGAACAAGACCCCTCTCCTCCAGGGACTTTTTGCCTCACCCATAAAATGGAGTTAATGGCCCCTGGTGACCTCCTGGATTGTTGAGAAGATCTAATGAAGTAAAAGGTAAGAACATGCTTTGAACAGAATAAACTCTCTACCACCATTGGGGGCTCTCATTTTTGGGGAGAGGGAAGCCAGGGGCATCTTCTAGTCCCTGCAGTGCGGTCCAACCTTTTTTCCCCATCCCTGTGCAGTGCCACTCAGACCACTAGATGGCGGTAGCTGTCACTTGCCAATTCTGGAAAAAAGGGTGTGGGAGAGCCAGGGGGCCGTCTGCTTTAGGAAAACTAGGCCAAAGCCAGCCCGTTACATCACTTCTGATCCAAGCAGCCAGTTCAGTCTAGATTTTTCCTTACTGCAGGCGACAATGCAAAAAAACTTCCAGGCTCTTGCGCATTTCAACGCTAACTGTTCGGCCTGAAAAATGTCCTTAACTCCCAGGGATTGGTCCTGCAGGCTCTGCCCCATCTTCCCTGGGTACAGCTTCTCTACTTAGGGCCTCCTACTGCCCTCTCCAGATACCCCACCCTCAGCC
The DNA here is from genome assembly GCF_000001405.40 of Homo sapiens. NCBI lineage: Eukaryota > Metazoa > Chordata > Mammalia > Primates > Hominidae > Homo > Homo sapiens. The sequence continues at coordinate 168,710 of NW_003315945.1, forward strand.
ATACTTGAAGTGAATTTCTCGTCCTGCCTTTAAATCTCAATCTCATTCATCAGGCACTTAATGATATCTACTTGTGTGCAAAGGCCTACACCAGGGCCCATGCTGGAGTAAGTGGGACCCAGACCCTATACTCAAGGGAAAGAAGGGGGACTACAAACTACATGAGTTCAAATCCGCCTCTGCTTCTCACTTGCTATATGCGTGATTTGAACCGGTCACTCAAGTTTTCTCTTCTTCAACTTTCTTCATTTTAAAATGGGGTTAATAATAGGCTTGTTTTATTGTTAAATGAACTCATACTGGCCAGTTCTTTGGCTTGGAATGGGGTCTAGCACTTCATAAGCAATAATCATTTATTGAGCACCTATTAGGGGTAGGTACATTATCTGATTTAATGCCCAAATTAATAGCTTGGAATGGGGTCTAGCACTTCATAAGCAATAATCATTTATTGAGCACCTATTAGGGGTAGGTACATTATCTGATTTAATGCCCATATTAATGGCTTGGAAAAGTTAAGCAATTTGCACAAGGTTGTTCAGTGAATCAGAAGCAAAGTTAGAATTTGAACCTGGTCTGTCTGACTCCAGGAGCGCTGCCTTCAGCTGTTCTTACAGAAAGTGAGCAGCTAAACAAAGGTACCAAGGGACCAGCAGACCTGCAGACTATACGGCCAGTCCCAGCAGCACAGCTGCAAATTGGGCATCCTAAATCTGCCATTCGGGTCTCAGTGATCCTGTTCTGGATTTAGCTCTAGCACTAACTGGGGACTAACGCTAACCTCTAGCACTAACCCTTCCTTGGGACTCAATTTATTCACCTATAAACAAGGCAGCTTGATAGATCAGTATTTTCCACACATGTCTAGTTGTCAAAATCATCTGCGGTCTTTCTTGAAAGTATGGAATTCTGGACTCCACGTCAGGTCTGCTAAAATAGAATCTCCAGGGGAAGGGTCTGCAGATCTATTTTTAACAAGCGATTCAGAAAACTCTTAGGACCAGGAAAGATAGGAAAGCATCCTAGTCCCAGATGATCTTAGCAATTCTCCCAGCTCCTACTATCACTCAGTCAGGCTCTTGATCGGCCTCCCTACAGACCCATCATGAACACTACAGTCCCTCTCCCTATGCCCCAGGATTTGACCCTCCTGAGCAATTCCCCACCCTGCATGGATTTGATAGCTCCTTCCTTCCTGTAAGGCACTTAGGCTCTTAAGGGAGGTAAAGCTATTTAAATAATGAATGGAATTTACAGTAGCATTCGGAATTCATTTAAGCAATAGAAACATGATTGCAGTAAAGTCCCTTAAAAATCTTTTCATCGGGTTAGAAAGAAGATAAAGTAACTTCTCTCTTGACTTTCCTAATATGCAAACCAGGATGTTTTGACAAGACTCAATTCTAAATTTCTGCAATGTCCATTTGGAAGGTGTAATGTTCACTGTCAGAATAACAGTGCCCTGCTGCCCCAGTCTGATATACCCAGAAGCTGTAGGTCAAACCACATTTCAGGCCAAGGGCAGGGTTACCAGCTCCTGTGTCCTGGTGGGGAGCCTTGTGAAAAAAAAATGGGAAAGAAGCTGCAAGGCACAAAGCCAGCCCCAGCTCCATTCTATCAGTTTGTACTATAAATCCTGTCGATCCTTGTTCTTCCTGTTTGCAGAGTCATCAAACAGCAAAACTGAGCAATATTGGCTGCCCATTTTTCCTCCTTTCTGTTGCAGTCTCTCAGTTCCTATGAGCAGCTGACCTCACTAACCTGAAACATACCTGAAATTCTCACTGTTAGGCCATGCCCTTGGGCTTAGGGAATGTTTTCTGGAAGAGTGTGTACCTTGGGTTGAGTTTTGGAAGATTGGTGTATCAGTCAGCTATTGCCATAAGAATGCCACATAACAAAGCACCCCAGTACTCAGTGCTTACAGCATTCAGTTATTCTCACTCATACATATGTGGGTTAACGGGGGCAGCTCTGCTGATCTCACTTGGGCTCAGCTGAGTTTGGCTCTGGCCTTTGGTTTGATCCAGGTACTCCAGGCATCCCTCAGTTCTTGGACCACCAGGTTAGCCAAGACGTGTTTCTCTTATTGTGATGGAAGAAGCCCAAGAGGACAAGCTCACCACTCAAGTCTATTTCAAGCTGCTGCTGACTTCACATCTGCTCACATCCCATTGACCAGAGCAAAGGGCAATGACATACAATCTGCCCAATGTGAGGCCAAAGCAAGTCACAGAACACAGGAGGGGCATGGGAAGGTTAAAATGGAAAGAGAGCCAAGTACTTGGGGCCACTCCCTGCAGGTGGGATGACACCTGGGAGGGACCCCGGGGAAGTTAGAGCTGGGCTTCATTTAGAATTCACTTAAGCAATAGAAAAACAGTTGCAGTAATGTCACACCAGGTTGTTTGCATCAAACAAATCACAATTTCAGCAAAAGATCAGATGGAGAAGAGACACTGAGTGATCATCTTGTCCCACCCCCTCAGCTTCCTGATAGCCTGATACGAAAAGGGGCTTATGGAAGGTCATTAGGCAAGTAAGCAGCAGAATGAAGAATATTATCTGTCCTTAGGCAATTTTCCCATCTGAGATGCTCCTAAACAGTCCAGGGAATTAAAATTTCATTTATTGACAAACATTTATTTAGCACTCACTCTGTGCTAAGTACTGTTCTGGATGTTAGGAATAAAGTGAACAAAACACTTCTCATAAAGCTTCCATTCTGCTTGGGGGAGGAATACACTAAATAAACAAGGAAATCCATTGCATGGTGATAAGTGTTATGAGAAAAAATAAACATGGCGAGGGAGATGGTTAGTGCCAAAGTTGGGGTTGTAGGGAGAGGAAGTTAGTGTCATTGATTGGGTAGTGAAGGAAGGTCTCAGATAAGATCACATTTGAAATGGAAGTTGAAGGAAGTGAGGGGAGGAGCCATGAAGATATCTGGGCATTTTCAGCAGGGAGAACTTCAAGTAGGTCAGGAACAAGCTTGCCATGGACTGGAGTGAGCAAAGGGGACATAGTGGTAGGAAAGGTCAGCAGGACAGCAGGGGAGGGCCAGGTCATAAACAGCCTTGGGGGCCATGGAAGGGCTGGGAGTTTTGATTAAAATGGGATGGAAAATATTGGAGAGCGCTGAGCCAAGGAGACACACGAATGGACTTTGGTTTTAAAAGATCCTTTTCACTGCTGTGTTGAGAATAGATTGTAGGAGCTAAGAGTTTGGAACCTGAGAGCCTGATTAGGTGGTATAAACCAAAAAAAAAGAAAAAAGAAAAAGAAAATGTAAAAGAAGAAGTGATGTCGATCAATTTAGAGGTTGATTTTGCCCAGGTTGAGGACGTGCCTGGGATAAAGAGACACAAGCCACAATAGGATCTGTGGCTCATACTTTTTCCAAGGATGATTTTAAGGGCTTCAATATTTAACAGGGAAAAGATGGGCAGGCCGAGAAAGGAGGGAAAAAAAAGAGGGAGGATATGGTCACATTTTTCTGAGGCTTTGATTAGCACTCACTGAATCCACATGTTTCATGTGAAAAGGAGGGGGCAGAGGAACAGTCAATTATGCATCCGTCTCACGCTCAGTTAATCTGCACTTTACATAAGATAAAGTAAACACAGTACAGGAAGAAGTCGAATATAAATTCATCTCGGGGTAGGCGGTGGAAGGGGGGTAAAATTTCTAGTCTCCTCTTGTCCTGTACCATAAAGATAAGCTGTTAATTTACATTGTCAGGGTGAGGGAGGCCCCCTGGGGAAATTTGTGGCCTTCTATCTTGTAGCTATCTATTTATGAACAAAAGAAAAGGCAAGTTTTTTGCATGATTTGGTTTCCAAGCTTAACTTTTCCCTTGACATGCTGAGTTGAGGGTCCCAAGATTTTATTTTCCTTTCACAGTGACAATTGCTGTAATCCAAGCTAGGGATGGTGATGGTGGCTGGGACCTAGGGGTTGGCATTCCAGGTGGTGAGAAAGGGTCAAATTTAGGATCAATTTGGATGGTAAAGCTAAGCAGATTCCTTGATGAATCAGATTAATGTGGTGTTAGAGTTTGAGGTCAGAAATGACTCCAAGATTTTTGTCTTGACTGACTGAATAGATGTAGTTGCCATTTTCTGAGTTGGGGACAGTTGCAGAAGGAGCGGATTTGGGTGGGCAAATCAAAATACATGTGTAAGGGGCCGTTGCCTCCCCATACTTTCTGGCTGGCCATATGCAGCTCCTTTCCCCAATCCCAGGGCAGGTTTAAAGGTTTCTGTAGCCAAATATAGCCACAATAGTGCTTTGCTCTGATACACGTAATAATTCTCAGTAAATGCTCAATCATAGGTTGGGATCCACAGGAAGCAGACCCTGAGATGAAGTTTAGCAGGCATGAGGTTTATTAGGGTGTTGATCTTGGGGTCACTGCCAGCGTAATGAAGGGGAGGAGGCAGACTGGGAAGAGGGAGACAGTGAGCTGCAATGCAGTGCCAGAGAAGCATGGGGAGTTCTGAAGATGAGGTGATCCTTCGGAACTGCCTGAGTTGGGGCAGAAGGCTGAGAAAGTGGGCTGCTGGCCGCCAGGGGCAAAACCATTCTTTTATCTGAGGCAATCCCCAAAGGGGAGATAGCTGCAAGCTGTACCACTGCCAGCAGTTGGGGAAATATGTCCTTCATTCCTAGAAGCTGATCTAGGTGGCACATCACAATGCCCACCACATCCCCTCATGCCAGACACAAAGAAGCAGGCTGATTTCTTTATGTCCATCTCTTCTCCTGCACTAATAATTCAAGGCTGGTCAGCAAATGGCAAATCCATCTGAGTTCCCAAGCTTTCCAACCAGAGGTGAGGCAGGATAAGAACATCTTGACAATGAAAATAAACACAAAGGGAATTCCCGGTGGAAGTATGCCACCAATGGAACCATGGACTGTGAGTCAGCTGTTGGCCAGACTCAAGGGGCAGACCCAACCCTGGTAAATTCTTGTCAAACAACTCACCCTCATCTTTGGAAGTGTAGTTTAAGACATCAATCCTCAATACATACAAAGTTGAGGAGGCTGGATAAAAATAGTAAACCAGGCACAATCTCCACATTCCCCTTCTTATCCTAAACTCCTGGAAAAAAAGAAATAATAATAATAATAAACATTGATGATAACAATAATATAAATAAAATATAATATAACCAATACAGCATATAAGTAAGAATATAACAACATATAATAATAAAAATCCATAACAGTGTAGGAAAAAAAGAAGGGGTACCCACAGTAGATGAAAAAGTTAGGAATGCCTGAAAGGGGAAAGGCAGATGGAGAAGACTGAAGAAAGAAACCACATCCCAATAGCACAAAGGAGAGACCTGCTACAAGAAATGGAGGAGCACCAATGTCCAAGGCAGCAGGAGCACCCAAGGATGATTGACAGGATGATTGGTTGGGGTTCTGAAGAAAATCAACCTCGTGAAAGAAAAGTCCTAAATTTAACCATCTGAAGACTAAATTGGACATGAAGAACTAAATTTAACAAACTGAAGAACTACATCCCCATGGAAAGAATAGAATCAATAAGAAAATACTTTATAAAAGTCTAATTAGTATTCTCATGCAAGGGAATGTAGCACACATACAAAATTATCAGATGAAGGTCTTGGAAATTACAAACTTGAGTACTGAAATTTTAAAAAATCAATATATGAACTGAATATCAGAATAGATAAAAACTAAGAGAAAATGACTGAACTGGAAGATTCAACCAAGGACTTTTCCCAGAAACAGAACACACAAGGAAACACAGATGGAAGTTAAGAAAAAATGAAAGAGAAATGGAAAATAATTCCAACAGCATGAAAATCCATTTAACAGGAATTCCAGAAATTGGAAATAAGAGGCATGAAGGAGAAGAAATAATTGAGGCAAAGAAAAAAAAACCCAAAAAACGATGGAAGTCTTTAGATTGAAAAAAAAGATAGAAGTCTTTAGATTGAATGGATCTATCAACTGCAGAGTAAGTAAATAAAAAGACCCACACTTGGCCGGGCACGGGTGGCTCAAGCCTGTAATCCCAGCACTTTGGAAGGCCAAGGCAGATGGATCACGAGGACAGGAGATCGAGACCATCCTGGCTAACACGGTAAAACCCCATCTCTACTAAAAATACAAAAAATTAGCCAGGCGTGGTGGTGGGCGCCTGTAGTCCCAGCTACTCAGGAGGCTGAGGCAGGAGAATGGCATGAACCTGGGAGGTGGAGCTTGCAGTGAGCCAGGATTGCGCCACAAACTACACTCCAGCCTGGGAGACAGCGAGACTCCATCTCAAAAAAAAAAAAAAAAAAAAAAAAAAAGACCCACACTTAAGCTTTTTTTGGAAACATTTACAAGGAAGAAGAGAAAATTCTTCCAACGAACAAAACAGATTAATCAACTTTGGCTGCCATAGCAAAATACCACAGACTGGGGAGTTTAAACAATGGAAATTTATGTCCTCACAGTTCTGGAGGCTGGGGAAGAAAGAGAGTAATAGGAGAAAGTAAGCAGTAAAGAAATAAAAGTTTTTAATATTTTTTGCTGGGAGGATTTAGGAAGTGATTGACTCTAAATATCAATATGTCTCTTAAAATGCATCAATGCATCAATCTATGCATTAGCAATAAAAAATAGGTTGAATAATTTCCAACTATTATAGAAGAAAAAATGAAATGAGAAGTCATTTAAATGGAAAATCTTAGATTTAGAAACTAACATCCAGATACATGCTGCTTGTAAGATACACCTAAAGCAAAATGAGACAGAGAGGTTAAAAATAGAATACTGGAAATAGCTATGTTGTGCGAATTCTAAGAAAAAGAAAGCCAAGTTGTAATAATATCAAACAAAATAGAGCTCAAGGCAAAGAACAATGAAAGAAAGTAGGGGGATGGAGTATCCATGTTGATAAAATATAACATCAATAGAGACGATATCTCAGCCATGAACTTTTATGCACCCAATAACTTAGCTTCAATACAGAAAGCAAAAACTGAAGGATATACACAGAGAAAGTGTTAATCTACAATCATGGTAAGAGACCTTATTATTCATCTCTCAGAAATCACCCAATCAAATAGCTGTGGATCAGGGACAGTTAGAGAGAGTCTGAAGAACATACATATTAAAATTTTACAGTGTGATCTAATAGACATAGATGTTAAGAAGAGGAGACTTCATTATTTTCAGTCACACATGGAGCATTCAAAAAAAATTACTCACGTAGTAGGCCACAAAGGAAACCTCAACAACTTCATTAGAAAGAAGTCAGACAGGTTACCATCTGGGACAAAATGTAATAAAATTAGAAATTAATAACAAAAAATGGCCAAATAATTCTATGCACCTGAGCATGCTAAATACTTTGAAAATAACTCTTAGGTTAGCAAAGAAAAAAGTATTACTATTTAGAAATGAATAACAAGGAGAGGCCATATATCAAAAACCTGAGATATATACCTAATTCATGAAAATTTATAGTCTCAAATAAAGTTCTTAGAAATGAGGAAAAAATGAAAGCAAAGTCAATAAGCTCTTCAGTTCAAGAAGTTAGAAAGAGAAAAACAAAATAAGCTCAGTGAAATTAGAGGAAGATATTAATAAAGATAAAATGCAAAAATTAACTAGAACACAAAAAAATCAATAGTATAGATCAATAAAACTAAAAGCTGTTTCTTTGAAACTATCAATAAATTAGAACAGCCTGTGGCAAGACCGAGTGTGAGAATAGAGTGAGTAATGGTCACAAAAATAACAACATTAAGAAGTAATAGAGACATAGTATACAAAGCACATTTCAAATTAAAGAGAATTTAGACCAAAACATTTCAAAATCTAATGAATGAATAATTTCCTGGGAAACAATAAATCACAATAAACAATAAATAATAAATGTCAACAATTGGTTCAAGAAGAAAATCATGGAAGACCAATAATCATATAAAAATTAAAATAGTAATTTAAGATCTACCCCCACTAAAGTGCACCAGAGTAAGAAAGTTTATGGTCAAGTTCTAGCAAACATTCAAAAAATCCATAATCCCATGTGATATACTATGCAGGGCATGGAAGAAGATAAAAACTACTCTAACTCGTTCCATGTGGCTACCATAACCAAATACCAAAAGTGGGCAAGGAAAACATGGATGAAAGGAACAAGCCAATATTGTTTATGAGCAAAGATACAAAAATTCTATCTAAAGTATTAGAAAGTCAAAACTAATAAGGTATTAGGAGCAAAAAACGGAAGAATAGTCCAACATTAGAAAGCAATTGATGTTCCTCACTAGAGTAAAATCATCTCAATAGATACTGTCAACTGATGCTAAAATTTAATGTAATTTAACAACAATTTCTGATTAAAACAACAAATTCAACTTGTAATGTTTTTATACAATAGACCCACAGTGTACATCGTAGTTATGGTAAAATATCAGAAACAATCCTTTTAAAATCAGAAACCAGGTAAAGATGTCTATAATCACTATTACTTTTCAATATTGCTCTGAAAGCTTACGTAAAGACAAGAGAAGAAAATAAGAAATGTAACTCTGAAGAGAAAGAGACAAAACTGTTAGTATATGCAGTCAGTATAACCATCTGTCAGAAAAATCCACAAGAACCAAATGTGAGTTAAACAAGTTGACTAGATATAAAATCAACACACAAAATTAATAATTTTAATGTACCACAGCAATGACTATGTAGAATATATATTTTATGACCCTATTCACAAAAGGAAAAAAAAACCTGAAAAATACCTCAGGCAAATTTCATAAGAAATGTCAGCAGAAGTGGTATAAAGAGTTAGGATGTGAAGGGAAACCTGGTTGTGATGTTACTAGGTGGAGTAGAGCTTAAATACCTGGTTTTGTTTGTTTTGCTTTTTAGTTTTTCTTATTATTTTGCTTCAAATGGTATTTTATTTTAAAATTCTTAATTATTATGGGACATAGTAGATGTATATATTTATGGGGTACATGTAATGTTTTGATGTAGGCACGCAATGTGTAATAATCACATCGGGGTAATTGGGGTGTCCATCACCTCAAGCATCTGTCAGTTATTTGTGTTAGAAACATTCCAATTCCACTATTTTAGTTATTTCTAAATACACAATAAATTACTGTTGACTATAGTCAGCCTGTTGTGCTATCAAATACTAGCACAAATTCATTCTATTTAACTATATTTTTGCACCCATTAATCATCCCCACTTTTCCCCTGCTCCCCGCTGCCCAAGCCAGCCTCTGGTAACCATCATTCTACTCTCTATCTCCATGAGTTCAATTGTTTTAATTTTTAGCTCCCACATGTGAGTGAGGACATTCAAAATGTGTCTTTCAATACCTGCTTTTTAGGTTCTATTTCCCTTCCAACAGAACCAAGCTCAGATAGCAAAGGCCAAAATCAAACACCTGCCTGTTGATCCAAATGTGCCAGGCTTTGCAGGTTCGGTATTTCATTAGCAATTAAGAAAATAACTTTTCCAGAAGCAGAATGCATTGCATGCATTGGAAGCAAAGGGAAGGCAGCAGAAAGAAAATTTGAGGAAAATGGAAAACAAAGCCTGGAGACACGCTAAAGCTTCTCATAGTCGGTCCTGACCGAGGTGAAGCTCAGGAGCGGGAGAGGAGAGGTCTCTCCCCCTACACATGCCCCAAAAAACCAGGGTGGCCAAACAGATGGTGAAGAACATTTTTAAACCACTTTTAACACAGTAACTTTTTTTTGCCTGCTTGCTCTTTATTCCTTTAGTCAAAAGTCTTACCAGCTGTCACCATCTCAAGGAAAATGTCAGAGGCTTGTGGCTGCCTGTGCCTCTCCTCAGCTTGGTGCGGGAGAGAGGTGTGGAACCTCAGCCAGCCACAGTCCTGGCTGCAGAACTGCTGAAGTGGCCAAGGATAGGGGGAAGGCCCCTCACAAAAATGGACCCACCATGGAGGCTCGCAGCCAATCTCTTCTACATACAATCCCTTCCAGGAACTAAGCATGTATACTTTCCAAAGTACTTTCCCTAGGTTCTTATATCCTCCAGACACCCCTGAGATAAATATTATTCCCATTGCATGGAGAGAGCAATGGCAAAGCCTGGCTTCTAGCTTTGCAATCTACCACCTGTGGATTCTTGGAAAAGTTCCTTTTCTTCTCTGGACCTTAGCTTCTCCGCATGCACAAGGAAATTGTCCAAATGTCCTCCAAAGTTGCTTCCAACTCTAAAGCTCTGATGCATTGTCTAATACCAGTTAGACATCCCTGATCCTCCTCTCTGAATGACAGTTCTGGCTGCTGCTTCCCTGACCCCTTCCTTCTGCCCCAGGGAGAGCTCAGTGTACACCAAAGAAATCAGAACATGAGAACCGCAAGAGGCTACCAAAGTCACTTCCTTAACTTTTTTTTCCCTTCTTTTTCAAATACCAATAAGTAACTTCTTTAAAAGGAAGCCAAGTAGGGCTGTTAGTTTCCTGTTGAGTCAAAAAAAAATTTTTTTAATAAGTAATTTGCTGAAACTAATCCCCCCCATCTTTTAAAAATCACACAGTTAAACTGATTTAAAGAAACCTTTAAAGATGCATTTAAATTTTCTTTCCTCCTTGTTTAACTATATAATTGTTTTCACTCACAGTAATATTCTCTTGGAGGCATATGCTTGACTTATTTAATAAATCTTTCTCCACATTTGAAATCATCCATTAGCAATAAGGAGCTTGACGCTCCATTACCCACAATAAATTTCACTGCCATTAAATCGCCACATGCCGCATGGAGGAAAGGAGATACCAGTATGGCCTCTCTAAGACAGGGCAGAGTCAGAGCTCAGCATGGAGCCTGCTCTGAGCCTGCCTCTCAGTTCCTTAGCCCAGCCCTGGGTTCTCCTGGCAGTCAAGGTATCCATCTAGCCTACCGTGGGGGCTGACCCAGAGAGACAAAGTTGGGTGGGTAAATTTGCATCTAATCTAAGGCTCATCTTTCTCATTCCAGTGGGTTTGGGGGTGGGGTCCAGGCAGTAGCACCCTGTGGCTAATACTCACCTTTAGGCCATGGCATGAAGCAGGGCAAACCAGAACAGCCATCAGACTTGCCCTTGGTCCTAACACAAAACCTCAGCATCCCAGCTGGCCTTGACACAGAGCCCCAGTCCTCTTGCACATCATGTACATGGTACAGCTGATAAAGAAAAGTCAAATGAGTTCACCACTTTCCTCTACCGTTGCCAGCTGGCTGCATTCTCAGGGGACACTGAAGCTCAGCTTGCAAGCTGATGACGTCTCTGCTTACCACCAACGGGCAGCTCCAGCGTGGAGAGAAAGAAAGAAATCATTGACTGGGAGGACCTCAGAATCAGAGCTGAAAGAGACCTCAGAGGCCATTGATTCCAGTTCTGAAGCTTTGGTATGTCAGCATCACCTTGGGAGCTTGTTAAACGTACTCATGTCCAGCCCCACCACACACCAAGGAAATTCTAACTCAGAAGATCTGGGTGGGCCTGGGTGTCTGAAGCCTCAAGAGCAGCAAATGCTGATGCATCCCAGATTTTTAAAAACCAGTGATTTGGCCTCCAGTTTCTCAACACTGGCTATAAAATGTAATGAGCTGGGACCAGGCGTGGTGGCTCATGCCTGTAATCCCAGCACTTTGGGAGGCCAAGGGGGTGAGATCACTTGAGGTCAGGAGTTCGAGACCAGCCTGGCCAATATGGTGAAACCTTGTCTCTACTAAAAATACAAAAATAAGCTGGGCATGGCGGCGCACACTTGTAGTCCCAACTACTCAGGAGGCTGAGGCAGGAGAATCGCTTGAACCCAGGAGGCAGAGGTTGCAGTGAGCCGAGATTGTACAGCTGCACTCCAACCTGGGCAACAGAGTCTCGCTCTGTCTCAAAAAACAAACAAACAAAAAACCCAAAACCAATGTAACGAGCTGGGGAAGGTTTAAAAATACCAATTCCAGGGCCTCATGCTACCCTGACTAATCAGGATTTCTGGCTATAAGCCCCAGGCATCAGAATTATTTAAAAGCTCCCCAAGAGATAACTATAGGCCATGAGGATTGAAAACGACTATCTGGGCAGTGTTTTTCCCTTACAGAAGGGAACTAAGGCCCAGAGAGGGGTCGGAACGTGCCCCAAGTCACACAGCAAGTGAGAAGGATTGCTGCATAGAACCCAGGTCTCCAGCAGTCTGATGAGAGCTCCTTGTGTGCGCCAAGGTACCTGTGAGGAAGGAACAAGTTGGGCTCAGGTCGGTTACTGGTGCCCAAGGAAGAATGCCATGCCCTGGAAATAACTGTCACTCTTCAGGGAATCAAGCACCTAGGTTGGGTCAATGTTGCTGGTCTGGGACCACACTTCTAGCAGCGAGGGTCCAGATCCCTTTTATTTACCTCCTCCTCCCTTTGGAATCCCAGTGTCCAACTGTCAAGCAACAATTCCCAGTTTTCCACAGTCTCTGCACATAGTTAGGTCATGGAAATGAATGCACTTTGTCATCTGGACCTTAGGGAGGGATGCTAAGTGTTGTGAACGAATGGCATGTTGGGTAGATCCTGCCCAGATTGTAAGTGTTCTGAGGGCAGTTCTGAGCCCCCTTCTCTTGTCTCTCTTGGATTGGGCTGAACAGTCAAAATGTGAAGCATGCCCAAGACCCTGCATGGCCTTGGGCAAGTCACTTCCTTGCAAGAATCCTATCTGTAAAACTGGGATAACTAATATTCACCTCCTAGGGTGTCATTTGGATTAAATGAGACATTGGAAGGGAAGGGCCCAGCACAGGAGGGATGTGTAAAACGTAGCTGACTGTCTCAATTTCCTTACAGAGATGCCACAAACAAGGAAGAGACACTGAACTCAGGCTGCCTGGGTCCAATCTTGCTGTTTCACTTCTTAGACCTGGGGCAAGTGGTTAACCTTTCTGGCCTTGATTTTCTCTTCTGTATGATAACAGCACATGCCACAAAGGGTTGCTGTGAAGTTTAAATTAGAAAGTGCATTTAACATGCTTAGCACAGTGCCAGGCACACAACACCGTAAGCACACCATAAACATCAGCTATTATTTTGGCTACTGTTGTTGTTACTATTGGTGCTCCAGATCCCTGGCCTCCTTTGCAATCAGCAAGGTAAATGTTGGGAGTCCTATTCCTGGTAATGGTTGGGACTTGCATGGGACTTTCCACCTTAGGAAACAGACACATCATCATTGTAGTGAGGATTGCAAAGTATGGCCATAAGCCAGAGGGAGCTGGCTGGATTTTCAGCACCCCTAGCCTGGGACTCCAGTCCTCAGGGCAACTAGACAATGGTACCCTTCACATGGCAGGAGGGTATCCCCTGTTGGTGCCTTATGGAGTCTTGTTTATGCCTCTATCAGGGTACTCGTAACATCCGAGTTCAATCATTGTCTTGCCCTCCAACAAAGACCCCAGAATCCAGGGCCAGGCCTTTTTCAGCTGTGTGTCCCTTTTGAAGCCCGGGAAGCAGTAGGTTCTCTAGAATATTTACTGGATAAATGAATGAGTGAGCTAATGAATTCATATTGGAAATTTTTTTGAATTTAATAATCCTAAAAATCTTATTACCCTTTTTGGAGTTGAGCAGTGTGCTGGAGCCCCACTAACAAAGAGCAGGATCTACTACTTATCTCAAGACAGCCAGACCCATCCAGGATGGGGACAGTTTGGGAAGAAAAGGGAGCCCACAGGATAGAGATTTTCTGCTGGCAAAATTCTCTAATTCCATGTCTGGACCAGGAAAATTTCTCTGATGCTCTTGGAAGTACAGTATGGAAACTGTGGAGGGGGTTCCTGGAAGGAAAGTCAGGAGGAAGCCTAGAAGGGTAGACTCTGTCCTAGACCGATGTCCTGAATCCAGAGCCTCCAGACCACAGAACATTGGTCTTATGAATCAGAGTGAATGCTACCATTTGACTTTGCTTCACCATCACACAAAAGCTTGAATTTCCACTAAAACTGCAATTTAATACTTTAACATAGGGACTCCTCTACCCTAGCAGTGGTGCTGAGTTCCAACCCATTTATTTCCCCAAAATGGGCAACATAAGCTCCTTAGAAACATTTCAGATGGTCCCAGCACCGCACAGATGGGGAAAGCAACCAAGAGGAGTTTTGCATTGCCAGGAGTATTGATGGTTGGAATGCAATTGCTTTTGCAGTGATTCAGGAGCATGCTATGTTGCAAATGAACAGAAACCTGTAACTCTTGCATGATTAGGTCACTTAACTTAGTAAAAGATAGTGTCATCTACCTCCTTGTCTTCTCCTTTAGAATAACAGAAGGTCACAAGACTTAAAATAGACCCATAAAAGCCAAAGGTAAGTAGATAATCAAAAGAAATGTGGTAAAGTTGGTTTTCTATTGCACTGTGCACTGAGCATGAGGCAAGAGCAAAATTAATGGGCTCAAGCAAAGTTTAAATGGAGGTAGACATCTCTCCAACCTTAAGGGCTATAGGGATTTGTGAAGGTGAGAGATGTCCTTGAAATTAGTTTCACCTCTGCCCAGGCTCCTTGGAACAGAGACCATGTCACTGTCAGATTCATGTTACCATCACCTGATACAGTATTGCTCCCCTGGCCCATAAGAGGTGTTCGATATGTGTTTGATGAGTCTCCAGGATGGTGTAGAAATTACTCATAATTGAAAGAAGACTATGTTGAAAAAGAGAGAGAAGCTTTGCCAGAGGTCAACAAACTATAGCCTGTGGGCCAAACCAGCCTCAAACCATTTTTGTGCAGCTCACAAGCTAAGAATGGTTTTGACATTTTTAAATAGTTGGAAAAAATCAAAAGAAGAATATTTTGTGACAAGCAAAAATCATCAGTGTCCATAAGGTTTTATCAGAACACAGCATATTATTGATAGCTGCTTTTGTGTGTTACACTGTGAGAGTTGAGTAGTTGATATAGAGACTATATGGCCCACAAGGCCCCAAAAAATTTACCACAGGGTCTAATCCTTTACAGGCTTAATCCTCCTGTTCTAAACCTTTAAAATTGGTGAAGAGTTGGGGGAGAGTGAGATACACACACACACACACACACACAGAGAGAGAGAGAGAGGAAGGGAGAGAGAGAGAGAGTAACTTGGTAGCAGCGAAAACTGCTTAACAACCAGAATGCATTAGTCAGCTTGGGCTGCAACAACAAATTGCCATAGACTTGGTGGCTTAAACAACAGACATTTATATTCTCATGATTCTGGAGGCTGTGAAGTCCAAGATCAAGGCACCAGCAAATTCAGCATGTGGTAAGGGCTTACTTCTTGGCTTACAGATGGCCATCTTGCCCAGATCTTCCTCAGATGTCAAACAGGAGAGAGAGAGAGCACAAACACAAACCCACTCTGGTGCCTCTTTGTGTAAGGACACCAACCCCATCATGAGGGCTCTACCCTGATGATCTCATCTAAACGTAATTACCTTTCAAAGACTCCATCTCCAAATACCATCACATTGGAGATTACAGTTTTAACATATGGATTTGGTGGGGGTGGGGGGATACATTCAGTCCACAGTACAGAGTTATTAAAAAATGATATATGTAGCCTTGAAAAGAAGTGTTTTCTCTCACTGGAAGTGTCTGCAGATAGGCACGCACTTCTCAGAGATGCTTTTAGAAGTTTCAAGAATTAGGACAGGGAGCAGGCAGATGATCTTTAAACCCCTTCCAGCCCTGAGGTGTCCAGAGTTTATGATTCAGACACAATTGAGGCCAGAAGGTGCCAAGGTGACTCTCTGGTCTAGGGGTCTCTTATGCCTTTGGGTTTCACATCACGTTCTCCCTGCTCTGCCTGTCCTATGGGAAGCTTTTCTAATTACAATAAGCTGGAGGATCCACTGAAGATCATTCATCTATCCATCAGGTAGGCATAGCCAGAGATACTGGACTGTAAATTCTGAATGTATTTGTTAAACCTAAGTGATAGCAGTTGCTGACAAGGGGAAAGTAATTTCTTTATTCACCAAGTCTCAAAGCTTTTGATATGAGTCAGTCTTCAAACATAAAGGTGACTTTGCAGTTGCAGATGGTTTTCTGTGGCTTTTTCTCTATGGGACCACTATTTCTCATTTGAAGCCAGAAGAGACTGATGTACTTGCAGTTCCAGCCTTCCATCTCAAAGGGCTCTATAAGCCATCTTAACTTCAAAATTTTCCTTTTGGTATCAACACAGGCTGGATTTGGGGTTAGGCATTGTAGTGGAGATAGGCATGGAAGCTGTTCTTTTGTTTGTTTGTTTTTGGTTTGCGACAGCATCTCACTGTTGCCCAGGCTGGAGTGCAGTGGCATGATCTTGGCTCATTGAAACCTCTGTCTCCTGAGTTCAAGTGATTCTCCTGCCTCAGGCTCCCAAGTAGCTGGGATTATGGGCCTGTGCCACTACACTCAGCTAATTTTTTTGTATTTTTAGTAGAGATGGGGTTTCACCATGCTGGCCAGGCTGGTCTCAAACTCCTGACCTCAAATGATCCACCTGCCTTGGCGTCCCAAAATCCTGGAATTATAGGCATGATCCACCACACCTGGTGAGGCTGTTCTTTAATCCTCTTCTACCTAATGAATAGTCATTGATGTGGGCAAATGAGGGAAAGCCACAGAAGAGAGCAAAGAGCAGGCTGAGCAGCTCACCAGATAGCTCAGAGTAACCCTGGGGAATCCAAGTGGCTGGAGAAGAGGCTGATGTGGTTTAAAATTTTTTCTGTCATTTCGGATGGTGTAAGAGTCAGGTTTTACTGTAATAATGCTGTGTAACAAATAATCCCAAAATCCTAATGGTTCACAATATTAAGCATTCATTTCATACTCATGGGTCAACTGCAGTTTGGCTGTTCTCAGCTAGGTTTAGCAGAGCTCCACAAACTAGACTAGACCCATGCTTTGGGATGTTTCAGATCTCTTCTCTGTGTCTTCCCTCAGGATGGCACATGTTCTCATAATGCAGAGCAGAAGCTACAAGGGAGCTGGAAGAAACTCACTTAAGGTCTCAGCTTGGAATTTGCACTATGTCACTTTTGCCCACATCCCATTGGCCAAAGCAAACCATATGACCAAGCCCAAAATCAATGGTGCAGGGAGGTATACTAGAGCTATGGATAATCCATGGCTAGGACATAGAGGAAAGAAAGAATTATGGAGAAATAATACATCTAACACAGGGGGTGACCTCATTTCCCTTTACTTCACAAACTTTGCTGAAATGCTACAAGAAAATCAAGATCCTTTTCCAGACTCATTTAATAGGGCTCAAGGATTATAAAGAAATTTTGGTTTGAGATGGAAAGCATGAGGGTACAGACCATTATTCTGAATACCATTGGTCTCATGGATCCCAGGAGATACAGAAGTTTATGGGTGTTGGGGCTGAATCCTCTAGAACTTAAAGAAAAAAACACCAAGCCCACATGAATGCAGTTTCTCCTATCTCCACATCCTTTAAAGACTCTATTTAACCAGTTAGTCTGCTTGCAGTTCACCAAGATTGTATCCTGTAAGTGTTTTCACCATCAGTTAACATGTGATAGATTATTTCTGAATACCCAGGATAATGATAAGCTAAACAAAAAAGTATGGTCCTTTTTATGCGCTTGCTTCTTAACAGTTTACAAAATGTTTTTACCTACATGATCTCCTTTAACACTAACAACCATCCTTCCAGGTAAACAAAAGGAACACAACAAAAGGAAGATAACTCCATTTTAAGGAGGTTTTAAAAAGGTAAATGATGTGCCCAACTTCACAGGCAAGTATTAAAGATCTGGGACTGGAGATGAGATTTCCTAACCCCTGGCCCTCTCTCCCTGCTCCTCTCCAGCCACACCCACCTCTGTGATTTTCCTTGGGCACCACAATCGTGCTTCCCTCTCAAGGTATTTGCACCTTAAGCTCCCTCTGTCTAGAATGCCGTTCCTCCAAATAGACCAGGGGTTGACTTTCTCACTGTGTTCTGTTCTCTGCTCGATTGTGCCAACTTCAGAGGTGTCTGAGCACCCTGCCTACAATTATGCATCTCATTACCCTCTATGCTTTTGCTGTCCTTTGCTTTTCTG
This sequence comes from Homo sapiens, assembly GCF_000001405.40. Lineage (NCBI taxonomy): Eukaryota > Metazoa > Chordata > Mammalia > Primates > Hominidae > Homo > Homo sapiens. The sequence goes on from NW_003315945.1 coordinate 186,786, forward strand.
CATAAGGTTCATCACTCTGTGACGATACATTCTACACGAAGATGTCTGCTTATGTATTATCTGTCTCTCTTCTGAAATGGGAGCTTCACAAGGGCAGGAAGCTTGTCTATTCACTGCAGTATCTAGCGGCACCCTGAAATAGGAGTTGTATATGGCAAATGCTTAGTAAATATTTCTTGAATGAATGAATCAATGAATGGAATAAATGAGTAAATTAGCTTTAGTACTTTCTGTCTCCAGACATAACCCTCTCTGACGCCTCACCTATGGTAGGTGCCAAACTTTGCCAGAACTGTCTATGAGCTTCATTCGACCTTTAAGAAGAACTGAGCCCCAAGACACTATCAACGATGTTCCAACCCCACTTCAGGCCCTTCCAGTGGCTGTTCTGGCAACACTGTATGATCAGCAGCCTGGATCAGAGGTTTGAGGAGCCAAGCCAGAGTTCTGGAGGACCAGCATCTTGCATCCCTGGAGCAGAGGTCTTGAGACAAAGTCCTGGCAACTAGCATCTGCACCAGAAGCATGTGATAGGCTGGATTAATGCTCTAGGATCTCTTCATAAGCATGGCTTCCTTAAGCCAGTTTGCTACTTGGCTTCAGTCCCCAAAAGGCTCCTGCTAAGAGACCCCACTAACCCTGAGGATTTCCTTGATCACAGGAAGTACATAATCTTGTTTTGTCCCAGGCCCATCCTGTTGAAAGCAAATGAAGACCCACCTTGACCACCCCATGCAGTGGGAAGAAGACCCTCTCCCCTGCCAGTGTCAGCCTTGGTCCATTAAGGGTTATTATCCCACTACTCATCAACAGAAACCCAACTCCCACCACAGAATTTTAAAGTAGAAAAGAAACACGTGTTAAATTGTCTCTATCACTATGCAAACATCAAGATGCATAACTCACATTACAAGCACAGTACATCTCACATATATGGAACTACCAGCCATGTGACCTTGGCCGGACATCAAAAGCTTTCACTTCTCAAGAGCTTCAGTATCCTTCAATATCCACAAAATGGGAATCTGTCTCAACACATTGCTAGAAAGATGCTGAGAGATGATGTTTGATTCTCTAATGTATCTCTAGTGATTTATTTAACGGGTTAGTTTAGCTCTTTCCATTTCAGTTTCCTCTGTCATAAAAATGGGAAAGCTAAATAAATACTAAAGTTCCTGCCAGCTCTAAATGTCTATAAAATGTCATCAGATTGTTCAATGAATTTGGTAAGCTTGCCAAAGATTTTATTTCTGATACAATAAAATACATAGTACATTGTAAACATTTTAATTAGTAGAACAGATTGTATAATTTACATGATGTACATTGCATTATGTCAAATACATGTGTGGTAATACACCTCAAAATTATGACAATGTGTGACCCACATAATAAAAACAACTATTCCTTCCAGTTCACACGCCCAATGCTTAATTTGATTTGGAGATAAATAAAGCACGGAAATTACCAATTGTCTCATTGTTACAGTGTTTTAAAATACCAATTGCCTTGTAAAATGGATGTGGGGACAATTTACAGCAACCCAGGCTCATCGGAGGGCAGGAAGATGCCATTTCAACAGTCTTATCCTTTCCTGATGCCTGCATTGGTCTAGATATGAGAGCAGGATGTGTCCAGCCTCCAAGGGAATGGTGTAGGATTTAGTACCACAATCTCCACCGACTTAGACCAAGAACAGCCTTGGATTTCATGGTTGGCAGATTGCAAGGCCAACAGAGGAAGAGCTTTCCAGCATCAAATTTCCACCAAAACATGAGCTCTGCAAGGCCAGGGACTGAGACTATTTGCTTACCACATAATGCTTGGCACACAACAGGTAGTCAACACTTATTTTTGGAAGGGAAGGAGCAACAAGACATTACAAAGATCCCAGAGGGGCCCAAGCCATAGGCAAGATGACCTCTTGGTGGGGATATCGCCAAGAGAAGCCTGGCATTCCTGGGGACCGGGGATCTAGGTCTTTATGAATCCTGAGTTTCCACCAAGACCTGCAAAGATGAACACAAAATGGGGAGCCGAGGAGAGAAAAGACCATCTCTCTTTCTCATTTAGGTCCAAAGAGTGATGAATGGATATGGTATTGGCTGAGTTGTACTCAGCTGGGTGATTTCTCTTCAGGAACACGGACTTTCAGAAGCAAATTTACATCTGAAGCTGGACTGCTGGTGAAATGAATAATAGAGTTCAGCCCAGGCTGGGAAAAGCATGGGCTAAACTATAAGCATGGTCTCAAGAAGAATCAAAGCTTGGCCTCTATATTAGCTTCCTAAGGCTGCCATAACAAAGCACCACACCCTGGGTGGCTTAAAACAACAGAACTGTATTCCCTCACAGTTCTGGAAGCCAGAAGTCTGAAATCAAAGTGACAGCTGGGCCTTGTTCCCTCTGAAAGGTCTAGGTAAGAATGCTTCCTTGCCTCTTTCAAGCTTCTGGTGGTTTTCATGGCATTCCTTGCCTTGCAGCTGCGTCACTCCGATCTCTGCCTCTGTCTTCATAAGGCCTTCTTCCCTGTGTCTGTGTTACTCTGTCCAAATTTCCCTCTCTTATACGGACAGCAGCCTTGGATTAAGATCTACCTTAACCCAGTATGACCTCATCTTAACTGAACTAGTTACATGTGCAAAGATCCTATTTTCAAATAAAGCCATATGCTAAGGATTCAGTGAACATGAAGTTTTGGGAGACAATATTCAACTCAGCACAGCCTCCAAGGGTTATAATGGGACACTCTCCCTGTGGGAGCTTGGCTGGGTCTCAGAGCCTAGGCACTCCAATGGCAATGTTTGCCCTTCTGGGGCTCTCAAACCCCTTCTGCCACTAATGTGCTGGCCTCAGGGGAGGGTGGCACTGTGTCTCCTTTAAACACACACACACACACACACACACACACACACACACACACACAGAGAGAGAGAGTTAGTTAGCAGACAATCTGAAGGTTCTTTTAAGTTCAGTGGGGAAGCCCTGCCATCTCCACAGAGCAGGGACCCTACAAGATCCTCACCTCCTAAAGTGACCACAAGGGTGTGGATATGGCTGAAGTCATATGAATCCAAGACAGGGAGACCACTGAAGCCAGCATCCCTGCTCCTGACCTCCCTGGATGCTCTAGCAGTCTCTGCAAGAGAGTCCTGGCCCCAGCTCCTCCCCACAGGGCTGTGGCTTGGTTCTTGTCTCCACAGACAAACCAGTAAGCCTCAGAAGGGATGCATGAGGTGTGTGTGTGTGTGTGTGTGTGTGTGTGTGTGTGTGTGTGTGTACACGTGTGCATGTGCTCAGTGCTCTCCTGGAACTGCTTAGCCCTGAGACAGCAAGGGGTTAAGGGAAAAGAGTGAGTAGAATCAGAACACAAGAGGACCTCTCCCTCCTTTCAGTAACCAGTGGAATGCTGCTCTGCCAGTTCTATGTGATTAACCTGAATTGCCTTGTCACTGAGGGATGAACAGACCTTTAAAAGCCAGCTAATGTGGCGGGTGCCTGTAGTTCCAGCTACTCGGGAGGCTGAGGCAGGAGTATCTCTTGAACCCGGGAGGCAGAGGTTGCAGTGAGCCAAGATCGCGCCACTTCACTGCAGCCTGGCGACACAGAGAGACTCCGTCTCAAAAAATAATAATAATAAATAAATTAAAGAGCCAGCTAATGTAAGATAATTGTTCCAACAAAATACAGCCTATGAAAGAGATCAGAAAAGAAAGTGGGGTTAATGGTTAATAATTATGCTGCTGAAAATCTAGGCAGCAGCTCCCAACCCCAAATATTTAGCACTGAGGAAAACTCCCAAGCGCCCACTGCTGCCTGATCCCCATGCATCTCCCAGCAAGCCTGGAGGATGAACCTTCGGGAATCACCCTCCCCACTTTATAGATGGGGATATGGATCCTTGGAGATCATAATATGGCTAGCAGGAAGTGGCTCCTTCAAGGACATCCAAAGAACCCCTTTCATTTACAGAAAATGAGGTACAGAGAAGGTGATGCATTGGAACAAGGTCACACAGCTGTTAAGATGCCGAGTCAGAATTGAACCCAAGTTTGCCTGGCTCGAAATCCAGGGCTCTTTCCACAAAACTCCATGATGATGTGGTTTTGTGGCTTGCTCAGTTTCCCATGGCTAGTGGGTAACATCACGGGGTCTTAACTGAAATGAGGGTCTTCCCCCTTCTTGTCCAGCCTCCTATCCCACTTCATACTTTTAAGACTCAAAGAGAGGATCACCTGATCACCAGCTCAGCCTTCCCCTTCTTGTTTCACTCTCACTGATGGCCACTCCAGGACCCTCCTCAAGGAGACCTGGCAGGTCCACGTGGGAAGAATGGGAGACCCCATGACTAAGCATTTATTGGAAGGACAAGTCCTTGCCTTTACTACACCACCAGTCTGTGTTCTCAAACTGGGCCAGACATTTGTTATTTTGCATCAGCTCTAAATGCTGAATAGCAGAGAAAAAGTGGGACACTTTGGAACTGGCTTTCCTCAGTGCCAACAAAGTGCCATTATTTTAACTTCATTTGTGCGGTACAAATGAGAAGGAGATAAATGTCGTGTTCCAGCCAGAGTCTATTAGTGAGTATCAACTGTAACATGGAAAGATTGTACAATCTGGCCATGTTAGAGAAGCAGAAGGAAAACTGCACCCAAGATCTTAGCTCTTACATTCCTTCTACCTGGGATTTCTGAAATGTGAAGCAAGATAAAAATGCAGACAGTGAATTACATACCTACAGCCAGTTGCCTATACTTTTTCCTCAAATTAAATACTAATTCTAGCTGGGTGACCTTGGATATGTCCCAGGTAACCTCTTGAGGTTACTAAAGTTTACCCAGTTAGAATTAGTATTTAATTTGAAGAAAAAGTATAGACAACTGGCTGGAGGTATGTAATTCACTGTGAGCATTTAATTTTAAATTTTCTCATCTGTAAATTTAAGACAATATCTGACCTGCCTGCTACACCATTTTTGTATGAGAATTAAAGAAGCAAATGCAAGGAAAATTGCAACTGTTCCATAAATGTTATTAATTATGCACTACACATAATATACACACAAAATAATTATGCAGCTAAGCAATTTGGAAGCATATTATAAGTGTGTAATTCAAAATATAATATATTGATGTTTTACATTCCTGACGTTACTTGTTTGTATAATAATCCTGTGAGATCCAATAGAAGAGAGGAAGGACTGTTTAAACCTCTATTCTTTTTGCTTCGTTTGAATACATTTTCGTTCAAATATAGAGCATGTCATATAGAGAAGTACTTGATGAATTTTTCCAAAGTGAATACATTCCTATCACCAGCAGCCAGAGTCATAATTAGGATATTATCAGCTCCTCAGAAGCTCCACACCCAACTGTTAAATTAAACTAAATTTGGCCTGAGGATATCTCCGTACTTGAGTCTTTATATAATGAACTGCAAACCTATCTTAGCAGGTAAGCTCACTGAAAGCCTAACTCAGGAGTATACTCTTGTAACAAACAGCTGAGTCTCAGCCAATCACAGCAGCCAAGCTTCAGTCAATCACAGGCGCCCCACCGATCAGGCCACGTTCAAATAAGGCAAATGCTGAGCTGTAACCAATGGAACTGCCTCTGTACCTCACTTTCCTATTCTGTCCATAAATGCTGCCTGACCCCATTGCAGGCTGGAATTC